>NC_000023.11:90341329-90644360 GCF_000001405.40 Homo sapiens
GGATTTTACACTTAAGTCTTTAATCCATCATGATTTATTTTTTGCATGAGGTGTAAGGAAGGGACCCAGTTTCCATTTTCTGTATATGGCTAGCCAGTTCTCCCAGCACATTTATTGAATAGGGAGTCCTTTCCCCATTGCTTGCTTTTGTCAGGTTTGTGGGAGATCAGGTGGTTGTAGATGTGTGGTCTTATTTCTGAGTTCCCTATTCTTTTCCATTGGTCTTTGTTTCCATTTTTGTACCAGTGCCATGCTGTTTGGGTTACTGTAGCCTTGTAGTATAGTTTGAAGTCAGGTAGCATGATGCTTCTAGTTTTGTTCTTTTTGCTTAGTATTGTCTTGGCTATAAGGGCTCTTTTTTGTCTCCATATGAATTTTAAAGTAGTTTTTTTCTGATTCTGTGAAGAATGCCAATGGTAGTTTTTTGAGAATAGCATTGAATCTATAAATTACCTTGGGCAGTATGGCCATATTCATGATATTAATTTTTCCTATACATAAGCATGGAATGTTTTTCCATTTGTTTGTGTCCTCTCTGATTTCCTTGAGCAGCGGTTTGTAGTTCTCCTTGAAGAGATCCTTCACTTCCCTTATTAGCTGTATTCTAGGGTATTTTATTCTCTTTTTAGCAATTGCGAACTTTTTAGCAAGAGTTCATTCATGATTTGGCTCTCTGCTTGTCTGTTGTTGATGTAAAGGAATGGTTGTGATTTTTGCACATTCCTTTTGTATCCTGAGACTTTGCTGAAGTTGTTTATCAGCTTAAGAAGTTTTTGGGTTGAGAGGATGGGGTTTTTTAGATATATGATCATGTCATCTCCAAATAGAGACAGTTTGACTTCCTCTCTATTTGAATACCCTTTTTTTCTTTCTGTTGCCTGACCGCCCTGTCCAGAACTTCCAGTATTATGTTGAATAGGAGTGGTGAGAGAGGGCATGCTTGTCTTTTGCTGGTTTTCAGCTTTTGCCCATTCAGTATGATATTGCCTGTGGGTTTGTCATAAATGGCTCTTATTATTTTGAGGTATGTTTTATCCATACCTTGTTTATTGAGAGTTTTTAACATGAAAGGATGTTGAATTTTATCAAAGACTTTTTCTGCATCTATTGAGATAATCATGTGGTTTTTGTCTTTAGTTCTGTTTGTGTGATGGATTACATTTATTGATTTGCGTATATTCAACAACCTTTACATCCCAGGGATGAAGCTGACTTGATCGTGGTGAATAAGCTTTTTGATACACTGCTGTATTTGGTTTGCCAGTATTTTATTGAAGATTTTTGCATTGATGTCCATCAGGGATATTGACCTGAAGTTTTCTTTTTTTGGTTGTATCTCTGCCAGGTTTTGGTATCAGGATAATTCTGACTTCATAGACTTCATAGAATGAGTTGGGGAGAAGTTCCTCCTTTTCAATTTTTTGTAATCATTTTGAAATAAATGGCACCAGCTCCTCTTTGTACCTCTGGTATAATTCAGCTGTAAATCCATCTGGTCCTGGACTTTTTTGTTTGTTTGTTTGTTTGGTAGACTATTTATTACTGCCCCAATTTCAGAACTTGTTATTAGTCTATTCAGGGATTCAACTTCTTCCTGGTTCAGTTTTGGGAAGGAGTGTGTGTCCAGGAATTTACCAATTTCTTCTAGATTTTCTAGTTTATTTGCATAAAGTTGTTTATAGTATTCTCTCATGTTTATTTGTATTTCTTTGGTGTCAGTTGTGATATCCCCTTTATCATTCTTTATTGTGTCTGTTTGATTCTTCCCTCTTTTCTCCTTGTTTGTCTAGCTAGTGGTTTATCTATTTTGTTAATTTTTTCAAAAAAATAGCTTCTGAATTTGTTGATTTTTTGAAGGGTTTTTGTGTCTCTATCTTTCTCAATTCACTCTGATCTTGGTTATTTCTTGTCTTCTGCTAACTTGGGGATTTGTTTGCTCTTGGTTCTCTAGTTATTTTAGTTGTGTTGTTAAGATGTCAATTTGAGGCCACACACATTTTTGTCTGCATTTTCTTTATGGCACAGCAAGGAGAGGACAATACTTGCAAATCACGACCATTAAATTAAAGAAATCAGGCAATGTATTTAACTCCTGCATACACTTTTCTGGATCCTCTGAAACCTGGCCAAATTTTTTACTGTATAAAGCTAAATCACACATAGAAAATGACATATGTACTATAAATATTTCCCAATTTCTATCAGCTACCTCCCAGAGTGGACTCAGGTTTGATTTTAAAGGCTGATTAGGTGCCCCACTCCCAGTGGTACTGGTTGGGTTTACTTCCTTGGACAGAGGCTGGTATAGGCTGAGGTGAATTAGATAAGGAGGAGGGGTGCCTGATAACCTTGGGATGGAATCCTTTATTTACATACTGGATATACCTCTCTCAGAATTGGTGAAATAAGTAGGCTACAGAGGGTGTAGGTCTTCTAGGGGGAGCCACTAGGAAGGAATCCCTTGGGCATGACTTTCTGGTGCCTAAAATTAACAGGAGCCAGTATAAGGCCATAAAAGCCTGTACACAAGGGACCTCCTTCCATTTTCCTTTAAAAAAAAAAAAACAGAATAAGTCCAGTTGTAAAATAGCAATATAATGTATAGAACCATGTTTAGGCCAAATCTCTTGGTTTTCTCATTTTTATTGGACCCAAGAGGTGTTGCAATAGAAAAGGAGTTTCTGTTTTCTAAGCTGAATTTCAAATGCTCTAATAACCTAAAATACATGCTAGTGGTGAGTCCTCTGAAATACCTATCATTATTTACATGTCTAACAAGGATTTCTACTTATCACAGAAGTTTTTCTAAGTCAAATGAGAGGAAAATCAACTTGGCTTTAATTATTTTTTTTTCTTTTAGATTGTCACTTCCTGCAGAGAAGGTGTAAATAATGTATTATGAAAGGGGTTACAAGCATTTGTCAGTGAATAAAATATGACAAAATAAGTATTTTTATTAAGCAAAATGTAGAAAGAAAAGTGTAAATCAAGTATAGGAAAATAAGTTGCTCTTATAAAAAATAATACCTTTAGGGCAGAATACAAGAAAAGGCAAACCCCTAGACTGGTTTTCTACCCTACAGTCTTAAAAGGAATGCCAATACTGAAAACACTGGAGCATCCAGGGGGCGGCTAATAATACCAAATGCTCAAAACTCAGAGTACCCAACTATTAGCCAGTAAGGGTTCCCAAACTAAATGCCAGAAACCCCACAGTATCCAGGGGTTGAAAAATGCCAAAAACCCTGTAGCATCTGGGGGGTGGCCAACAGTGAACCCCAAAGGCCTAGCTGGGGACACAGAACAACGTGACCCTGGAATTCTATAGTCAACACAACAGGGGATCTCTTAAAATAAATGGTCCTGCCTTAAACATTGCCCAGGGAGTCAAAGCAAAATAATAATAATAATTTTTAAAAGGACTGCATACAAAACATACATTTTAGGACTGAAAATAAAATGGCTGGTAGAGCAATAAGATGCTGTCAGAGGAAAAAGGACCAGGGGAAGGGGTGATAAAGACATGGTTCCGGGCACCCAAAAAGGGACTTTTCGACTCGCCACCTAGCCAGAAGCTTTTATTCTCTAGCTTAACCAATATCGTGGTGGAAGAGCAGAGGGGAGATGCACCCATCTGCAGGAGCCAAAATGGTGCTGACCAGTCTTCCACGTGTGACCTGGGTGAAGGTCTCTACAGGTTCCCTCAACTTGAGTGGGCTCAGGTGCCACATGGGGACAGACATGATGACTAGTGGCCCATTGGCCTGACGGCCAGAATAGCAGGTCCCACATGAGGTGACAGTGTTATGGTTGCCTGTCCATTCACTCAGGTCTGCTGCCCACCAGGAAAGATGATGGCTCTTCAAAGAGACTTTGGCTAGTGTTACAGCTCTGGCACTGATTACCATCTCACCATCTCTTGTAAATCACTTCCTCTTGCTGTCTTGCTGTCCTACTGACCACCATCTCTCCATCTATCTCCAATTGCCACCTCTCTGCTATCTTTTTGCCTCTTTTCTGATCACTACTGGCTCACTGTCTCTCCACTGATCGCTGCTCTGTCTGTTGTCTCACTGCCATATTGGTCACTGCCTCTTTCTTGTCATCTTCATCACTTCATGGTAGCCAGATGATGCAGGACAGGCAAGCAGCAAACCTGGGGCTTAGCTTGAGAGGGTTCTTGGCTTTGCCCAGGAAATAATTCAAGGTGAGGCAGTGGTATTAGATAGCAATCTTTCTTGAACAGTACTGCTCATTATGGAGCAGGGCTAACTCACAGGCAGTGTGCCCAGAGTCAGCAATATATGGGCTCTTGACAACTGTAATTGTGTTCATGGAAACCCACTTACGATTACATGCAAATTAAGGGGTGGTCAATGCAAATTGAGGACCGGGTCATTTAGAATTTTCCAGGAAAGGTTTGGAACCTTCTAGGTAATTGCTATGGAAAGTGGTGGTAAGTTCTGAATTGTTGCCATGGCACTTGCAAACTGTGATGGCACTGGTGGGAGTGTCTTATGCTAATGAGCAATGTGGACAGCTGGGGATTGCTTTCATCATCATCGTCTGTCAGTTTCTTCATTCTGGCTGGACCAGATTCCATTTTCATCAGGAGAGTTATGATCAGAAAACAACTCTTTCTGGTAAATTACCTGACATCTAGAAAAATTGGAGGTAACAAAAATTGTGTGTGTGTGTGTGTGTGTGTGTGTGTATATATATATATATATATATATATATACTGTTTAGCCATATACAGCCATGTGCCATATGACAACATTTTCATCAAGGTCAGACTGATGTGGTAGCTTTCATAACATTGTAGCCCAACACAATGGGCTTATTCTGTTTAGATTTATTCTGTTTAGATATCTTGCATACACAAATACCATTACATTACAATTGCCTACAGCATTCAATGCAGTAACCTGCTTACCAAGTTTGTAGACTAAGAGCTATACTAGATAGTCTAGATTTGTAGTAGACTGTATCATCTAGATTTATTTAAGTACACTCTATGATTTTTGCACAATGACAAAATCTCCTAATAACACATTTCTGAGAATGTATCCACATCATTAAGTGATGTACGACTATATATGTGTGTGTGTGTATGTGAGTGTACATACAGACAATCCCAATTTAGAATCTTTTACCTTACAATTTCTCAACTTTAAGATGTTGTGAAATCATCATAATTTCTACATGATGTACAATACTCTATAAATTAGATGAGATATTCAGCAGTTTATGATAAAACAGGCCTTATGTTAGATGATTATGCCCTACTGTGCACTACTGTAAATCTTCTGAACACATGTAAGGCAGCCTAGGCTAAGCTATGATGTTTAGTAGGTTTTGTGTATTAAAGAAATTTTTGACTGATATGACTTATAATGTTTTAAATTTATAATGGGTTTATTGGGACATAACCCCATAATAACTATAAGACCATCTCTCTATCTCTCTCTCTCTCTCTTTGTGTGTGTGTGTATTTATGTATGTATGTGTTTACACACACATTTATATACATATGTAAATGTAAATATTATTAAATTGGCCACTTGAAAAATTATTTTTTGCTCAATTTTCCCCGCATTACAATTTATATCCTATATGATCACATCAGTGTATTTGCATGTAAGTGTCTACGATGAAATTAAGATGTTTATCTTTACAGAGGTACATAATTTTATGAAGATTATTAAAGTGATGTTGAGACACTGCATCAATCAAAACCAAAGATATTTCAAAATTAAAACCTCATTTAGAAGTCACATCATTTAGGCCAGGCACGGTGGCTCACGTCTGTAATCTCAGCACTTTGGGAGGCCAAGGTGGGCAGATCATGAGGTCAGGAGATGGAGACCATCCTGGCTAACATGGTGAAAACCCGTCTCTACTAAAAATAATACAAAAAAAATTAGCCAGACGTGGCGGCAGGCACCTGTAGTCCCAGCTACCCGGGAAGCTGAGACAGGATAATGGCGTGAACCTGGGAGGCGGAGCTTGCAGTGAGCCGAGATCGCACCACTGCACTGAAGCCTGGGCAACACAGTGAGACTCCATCTCAAATAATAATAATAATAATAATAATAATAATAATGATAATAAATAATACAATAATAAAAAAGAAGTTACATCATTTAAAAGTTAAATTAACAATGTACAAAGATAATTAAATATATATATTTTTAATAAATGATTTGAATATCAAAGTATTAAGAGAGTTGGAGATTTTGATTCAACTCACAAATATTATTGTAAAAATTGCCTTATATTTGCTCATTTTAAATGTTAAAAGTGAAGGGAAATATTTGTGTTTATATATCTTATAATTTTGTCAGAAAAAATGTTATAAAATTAACATTTCACTTATTCTTAGTTTGTTTTAAGAATTATTACATAATTATAATTATGTCTTCAATGTTGTAAATATAATAAAATAATAAATATATTTTCTAACCATGTTATAGGAAAGAATTCCATTAAAATATTTTTCAATATTTACTAAGAACATTTTATCACATTCACATTTCCTCGTTTTCCTCAATGTGATCCCAACCTTCATAAAGGATATAGATCAACAACCTAAAACAAGCATTTTATTTAATGATGAAATATTATAGGCATTCATATTTACGTTAAGAACAAGACAAATATATCTGCTTTCAGTTCTACAACTAGGATTATATTGGAGATCCTAGTGAATAAAAGACAAGTAAAAGGTATATACATTGGAAAAAATACAACAAGTTGTCATTATTTATAGACAATAATCTGTTCATTGTATAACTCTAGGTAATTAATATACCAAAAAAATGAAATAATGATGAAGTTCAGCTATGTAGCTGAATATAAGCTCAACATATAAAGATACCTACCTATTTTTTCTGTATGCCAGTAATAAGCAATTTGAAAATATAACTGAAAAATAATTCTGTTTACAATATAGAACATAACTATAATACATCATATGAATGAACTTAGCAATAAATATTTACAATTTTTACTTACCACACTTCAAAAAAGCACCTTAAATATATGTGCTTGTATATATAACAAATATGTTAATGGATGACAAAACTCAGCATTTCAAGTTTTTATCTTTTCCCAAATTATTTAAAAGTTCAGTGGGACTCCATTTCAAAATCTAAAACAATCTTCCATGGGACGTGAGAAACTGATTATAAAATATGTATGGAAAAGTAAATATACAACAGTAGCCAATAATATTTTGAAAACTTAAAGAAGAAAGGCCTGTCCTATCAATATCAATGTATATTTTAAAGTTTTTAATTAATTCATTCATTTATCTGATTAACTTATATTTGAGTAACTATTATGTCTCACTCGAGATTCATTGTGAATGAACTGACATTCTTCCCCCATGGAGCTTACATTCTAGTGGGAAGGATAAATAATAAACAATTAATAAAACAGCAAGTAAATATATAATATTCCATAGCACACTAAGTCCTATAAAGAAAAAAAAAGGGGCAAGGAGCACTCTTATTATAGTAAAAACCATACTAATAGAAACAATGACCTAAGAACTTAATAAATAAATAAGTAGAACAAAATTGTTTAAAAAAATAGGCCAATGTGTTTATAAGGATTTTTCTATATTAAAGGTAAAATTTCAAGTCAATAAGGAAGGGACAGATTATTCAATAAATGGCATGGTTAATTGGCTATATGCTTAGAAGGAATACAGTTAAAATCCTGTAGCTCAAAATAAATTTGTAAAAAAATATTTGCAATGGAAATAAAAGACAAGATATTAGTATTCAGAATGAAAAAATTCTTGAAAATCAATTAGAAAAGGAATAGAATAATGAGTGAAAAAATATGTGCTGCATTGGCGAAAATGTGAGGAAGTAGGTGCTCTCACCTTATATGCAGCTAGTGAGAATGTATTATAAATTGGTGCAACCATTTTGAAGAACAATTTGGCTGTAGCTATTTAATAATTATAATTGTTTTTGTTTGTTTTTATTTACCAAACTTCAATAAAACACACTAAAACTTTACCCAAGATCATTAAGGAACATCTGAAATAATACAAATATTTCATGTTAATGGGTGAAAAAACTAAACATTTAAGATTTTTATCTTAAATGTTGTTTTTGTCTTAAATATAGTGAGACAGGGTCTTACTATATTGCCCAGACTTGTCTTGAACTGGACTCAAATAATCCTCCCACTTCAACTCCTGAGTAACTGCGACTACAGGCATGTGCCACAGTGCCTGTCAATAATTGTAATATTTCGTTTGCTATTACCAAGCAATTGTACTTTGGGGTACCTATTCTAAAGAAACACTCACACAGGTGTTTAAGGAGGCAAGTACACTTATATTAATTCCTACGTAGTAAAAGTGTTAGATTGAAAACAAATGCTACTATTTTCTATAATGTATTAACAAGCAAATAGGGAAATGTGGCTGAGGAATACACACAAAGATACACACAACCATGCCTTCTAGTCAAAGTTCAAATTCATAACCTGAATTCAAGTAAATCCTGGTATTGTCTAACCCATTTACTCTCTCACTTTCCTAGTTGACTATTTCACACCCTTTGTCTGTCTCTTAAAACATTCAATATCATTTCCCTACCCTCTTATTCAGTTTGATTTTTAGCTAATTATCTTACATCCTGCATCATTGAGAAAAGAGAAGAAATCAAAAGAGAACTTCCACAGGATTATAAAATCATATATACCTTATAGCTGACCTACACCTATATACTTTGTTTTCTGTATTGTTAATATGGAGACCTTAGCAAAGTCCAACTCCTCCATTTATGCACTTATCACATTCCTTCTCACCTAGTAAAGACTATTTTTCAAGCAGTTATTACCCATAATGCATAACTACTTTTACTCCGGATTGCATTATTCATAACAGCATACATAGTATTTATCCAAACTTATCCAAAAAAAAAAATTCTGACTGTAACCCAGTTTCGCTTTCAAATCCCCTTTACAAAAAAACTGCTTTCTTCAGATTCACCTGCTTCTTTTCCTCTCCTTCCATTCTCTCACAATGCATAACCAGTGATGTCTGTGCTCCTGGTGAAGATGTTTGTCTACCAAAGTGGTTCTTGACGAGCTCATAATTAACCTCCACATTGCAAAGTAAAGTGGTCAACCCTCAGTTCTTGTCTTATTCCACTTTTTAAATTTGACTTTTGGGACACCACAATCTCTTCATTCACTTGGTATCTCATTGCATTCTATCTTTCAGTCTTTTCCCCCTGTTTTCCTTTTTGTCTACACAACTTCAAAAGTTTAGAAGGCCTCAGCAATCAGTCTTCATAATTCTTTTCTCTATCTTTATTCCTTTTTTGTGTGGGCTCTTCTTCACCCATGGTTTTAAATACTATCCATATACTGATGACTCTGAAATGTATATCTGTGGCGTGGACCACACTCCTGAGATAAGAGTCTTACGTATACAAATGCCTACTTGACGTATGATCTGGGATATCTAATAGGCATCTCCAACTGAATACATCATAAATGGAGTCCAATCTTTGCAAAATAGGACCGGTAAATGGCAACTGCAAATCATTCAATTCATACTTGAGTCCTATTCATTTCTCAGATGGTTTGAGATACGATAGTCATTTCATCAGAAAATCCTATCGGTTCTGCCTTCAAAACAAATTAATACTCGACCACTTTTGCTTCCACTTTCACTGCTAGTTCATACACCAGCATATCTTCTAGATTATTCCAATAGTTATCTAACTGACTTTCCTGTTTCTTTGCTCCCCCGCCCCCCACAGATATGTCTGCACATGTCACTCAAAGGGACCCTGTTAATATAGGTCAGATTCCACAACTCAAAAATCTCCCAATTTTTTCCCCGTGCAATAAGAACAAAAAGTAAAGCTATTTTAAAATGGCTAAAACACTGTACATGTTCTCAGGCTTCCCACCATTCCCTGTCTACTTTCTCTGATCTAGCTACTCTTTTTCTAAAATAAACACCAAATCTGGAGAGCGTCTATATTCATTGTTCTTTTTGCCTGAAAATTGCTTACCCCCAATTTCAAGTGGCTAATACCCTCACTTCTTTCAGGCCTCTAGCATTCTTTATCCATTTAACCTGCTTTAGTTTCTGTATTGCACATAATTACCATCAGATGGTTATATATATATATATATATATAAAATTGTCTGTTAACCCCTCTAGAATGCAAGCCTCATGAAAGGCAATGTCTTTATCAGTGTTATGCATTGATGTATCTCCAGAACCTGAAACATTCCTTCTAATAAAACAGGTGTTAATAAATATAATTTGTCTATATGAATGTATATATAAATGAAGTAATAGAAGGTAGAGGAATAAACAAAGCAATAAGAAAAGATAGAGCAGGAATACAACCTATTCTGTCATAAATATTAGCTCAAAATGTAAGAAACTTTGCAGGCAAGATAGAGAAAGCCTAAGTTTTCCTTGCTTGTTTTTTTTTTTTTTTAATGGGAGAACTAAGAAAATGTATATACTAAGGGAAAGAGAAAATAAAAAAGAAGTTTAAGATTAGCATATAAATGGGGTCATTAATAAAAGTTGGAGGTAAATTGTTGGAACCAAATTTGGTGAAGACATCATGCCTGGACTAGAAAAATATAATTAAATAATTAAAAAAACAAAAAGTTGGTACCTGTACATGAGATTAGTTTGTAGAGTAATGGACAAAAATGTAAGATAAATATTCCTCTGTTGCCTCTAGATTTCCTGTGCGTTTGTGACAAATCATCTGAAGCCATTCAGTGTGGTGGAATGAGGAAAACAATACAAATTTTGAAAACCAATTATAAATAATGAGAAAGAAAGCATGGTACAAGCACATGTAAGTCTGAATGACAGCACTAAAGAGTCATTTAATATTGGAAACTATGATGTCACAGGGGCCCAGAAGTGCTCAGAAGCTAGGGTGTAGGAAAAGAGAATTTGATGGTTGTATTAATAGAGAATCATTGACTTAAGGCACCTGACGTTGAGAAAAGACAGTCAATAGGAATGGCAAGAGAATAACTAATATGATATATCTAAGATTTGGCTGGATATGAAACTTAGAGACTTTAGAGCCAAGGGTGGTTTTGAATGGTAAATGAGTGGAATAAAGTAATCAAGAGACTTGAGGTCATTTTGGAGCTGGGAGATCAGTTATAGTGGGCAAAGGGACATTTCTTGAACATTGAATGAGTTTTCTAACTTGCAGTAAATGTACATGTTAGAAAAACATATCGTTTGTTGTTGCTTGAGGTCTAGTGGAATATAATCTCTTCTTAGCATGATCCACCACTTTCTTGCTTCCAGCTTCTCTATTGGCCTCTACTACTCTTTAGTGCTTCATATTATATAGATTTGTTGCTGATTCATGTCAGTTATGAAAAGAGGGGAAGGGGTAGTGAATATTGAAGACTTGGACCAACACTGACCTGTTTTAGCTGTTTTGTTTTATAGCAACTTTGTGGAGATATGATTCATATATTATACAATTCAATGGCCTTTAGTACATTTGCAGAGTTGTACAACTTTTACCACTGTCTAACTCCAGAATATTTCATTAACTCAAAAAGAAACCACGCAACCTTTAGTGATCATCTTCCAAATCTTTCCATCTACCCTATTCTTAGGCACACAATAATCTATATTTTGTCTCTATATTTACCTATTGTAGATAGTTCACATAAGTAGAAACATACAATATGTGATCCCTTGTGCTACCCTTTCACTTAGCACAATGTTTTGAAGGATTATCCACATTGTAGCATATATCAGCCTGTCTTTCCCTCATATTGCTGAATAATATTCTATTGTGCTATGGCCTGAATGTTTGTGTCCCCAAAAAATACATACACTGAAGACTAACCACCAAGGTGATAGCATTAAGAGGTGTGGCCTTTGGAAGGTGATTAGATCATGAGGGCTGAGCCCTCATAAATGGGATTAGTACCCCAATAAGAGAGGCCTGAGGGAGCTTGTTTGCCCTTTTCACCATGTGAAGACACAGCTTGAAGGCACTAAGAGGAAGCAAGACCTCACCAGACACTGCTGATATCCTGTACTTGGACTTCTCAGTCTCCAGAACTGTGAGAAATAAACTTCTGTTGTGTATAAATTAAGAAGTCTAAGGCATTTTATTATAGCAGCCTGAATGAACTAAGAAATATTGTATGAATATACCATATTTTATTTGTCCATTTATCACTTGATGGACATTTGGGCTATTTTCTATTTTTTATATTATAAATAATATAGCCATTAATATTTTATAAAGGCTTTTGGTGGAAAAATGTTTTAATTTCTTTTTGGTATACACTTTGGAATGGAATTGCTGAATTATATGTTACTACCTAAGGAACGACCAGACTATTTCCAAAGGGGCTGAACAATTTTACATTCCTGTCAGTAATGTATGAGGAATCCCATTTCTCTGCATCCTAGCCAACACTTGTTATTATCTGTCTTTTTAGTGACAAGCATCACAGTGTGTTTGAAGTAGTATCTCATTGTGGTTTGATTTTCATTTTCCTTACAGCTACCAATGTTGAGCATCTTTTCATGTGTGTATTTGTCCTTCCTATATCTTCTTTGGGTAAATGTCTATTCAGATTCTTTGTCTTTTTACTGTAGAGTTATAAGAATTATATGTCCTAGCTACAAGTTCCTTCATATATATATATGATTTGCAAAACTTTTTTCACTAGATGGGTTGCCTTTTTACTTTCTTGAAGGAATTCTTTGAAGTTCAAAATTTTTAACTTTGATGATGTCTAGTTTATGTATTGTTGGTCCTTATGCACTTGATATCATATCTAAGAAACTAATGTGAAATCCAAGGTCACAAAGGTTTATGCTTGTGGGTTTTTTCCCCCTGAAAGTCGTTTATAAAATGAAGTTAGTATTAGGAGCAATAAGTATCCATTAGATGAAGACTTTCTGAAAGCAATGTTCTAAAAGCAATTTTGATTTTCTTTTAAGCTTATTCTGTTTCATCTTGTTTGTTCGATTGTTCGTTTTGATTGGAGGACAATGAAAGCTTGCACTGCTCTAACAATGGATTATGCTAGTGTTAATACAGGGATCTTTAAAAGGTAAAATTAAGTGAAGGGAAAAAGCAAGAGACAAGGCAAAAAATGATTTTATTAAAAGCCTAGGTGATGGAGGGGAGGCAGCATAAAGAGCAGAGCTGATTCTTAGCTCAGATAACATGTGAAATAAAAGTAGACGAGACATACAACAGATAGCAAAAAAACAGAGGATTAACATAAGAGCAAGGAGAAACTTGGCTTAATGAAGTCAAAGAAGAATGAAACATAAACATAAAAAAGACTACCTGTAAGAAATATGATAAGTGAGTTATATGAGTTACTACTCTGGAAATCTTTGGGCAGCAAAGCTGTACCTTACCTTTCATTGCGCTCAATAAACATTGAACAATTAACCTATGTTCCAATATGATTAATAGGCAATTAAAAATTCATTTCTTATTTCTCTACGAGAACTATATTCCCTCTTAGTTTTCATAATCCTGGGTGTACTTCTTACTACTGGTTACTCTATTTATACTTCTGTTAAATTTGCTGTCTTATCCTTAAAACTTATTAGCTATTGTTTATGAAATTTTTCAAAGGCTACTCAGCTATGTCAGAGCTGATACGCTTATTTGGTCTAAAAATGAAAATGCTAATTACCTTTTTTATAATATTTTAGAAGAAAATATTTTGACAACTATGCAGTTCATGATACAGAAACCAATCTAATGGAAAGAGGGTGAAGAGTAGTAAACAACCCGGGACAGAGGATTCCATTAATTGATTAATCAACAGTGATTAATTAATTGAGTTTTAAAAAGACATTTAATACTTTGCAAATTACCTGTGATTCATCACAATAACCACACACACACACACACACAAACACACACACACACACACAGAATTTTCCCCAGACCAGAGAATAACACTGGAATGAATGGTATTATAGAATTTCTGCAGTTAAATCTATTTACTTTTTTATTATTGATATTTCTCAGGTTTATGGAAAAGGAGAGGAAGTGTCCACGTAGCATGTTACTATGCATGCCATTTAGTCTACCACTGAATTACTAAAATAACTGAACTTGTGATCCCACTCATTACTCATTCTTTGATTTATGATCAATCAATTTAATTAATACAATTATTACTTACCATTCAGACCACAGTAAGACACATTGCATGGATATAGTCTTAGAGTAATTAACTACTCAAATAAATCTGTTAAGATGCAAACAATGGTTAATGATCTTTGAATTTCAATTATTAAACTTCTTGATTCAATGCAAGTCAGAGAGTTGTGTTTCCTTATAACAACAAAAAATAAAAATATATGGTCACTGAAAAAAATAGATGTATAGTCAAGTGAAAAAAGAAAAAGAAACTAAAAATCACTCAAAATGTCACTTCCCTGGGGCAATCAACAACAATATTTAGCAGTATTTTTTTTATTTCTTATCTGCTTATAAAATACTTTAAAAAATGGATTCTACTGTAGGTGATTTTGTGAGTTTATTTCTTCTTTCTTAGTAAACTCATGGATAACTTTTGTGTCTATACAGAACTCCATTATCATTTTAAATGAGCGTAACGTGTTCCATCATATGCATTTTGCACATTTCTTTAACAAACTCCTATTTAAGGATAATTTGTCTATTCCCCAAAAATTTAAAAATTCCCAAAATGTTCTTAAAACTTGTTATACAGTTTGCCAAAAAAGAACTATAATTATAAGAATGCCCCCAATATGTAATTTTTAAAATAAACAAGTAGATTTTTTATATTGATAATGAGAAGAGAATATAGATGATCATGATCATTTTGATTTCAGAAAAAAACAAAGATGTTTCAAAAGAGTCTTCCCAAAGAGTGGGTGAAGAATGAGCAGAGACACTGACAGTCATCCCCGCACACATCCTTTGAAATCACTAAAATGAATCATCCTAGGAATGGGAGCACCCTCTGTTTGTAGAGATTTTGTCATAAAAATGTACAATATGGAGATATTGAACCTAATGTCAGAGTAAGATTAAATATGGAGTAGAAGATTCAGTTGTAGAAAAAAGTTTAGGTTCCAAGATTATGATTAAGTTTGCCCTTAGATAGGGGCACAGAACTGGTAGTTCAGCTAGAAGCCATAATTTCTCATGAGATTTTCCACGTCCCATGATATTGCAATGCTGGATTTCGTTCTTCAGGGGAGAAATTCCTGTGATCCTGAGGTTTAAGGTTTGGCATAGAGCAAACTGTACATGCTCAGAGTTCACTCTTTTTCCCCTCAATTACATTATTCCTCTATGAAGTATCCTTTTACTCTTCTTTTCACAGTAAGTATTCAGGCTTGATGAATACACACACAGACAAGGGTCATCACGCTTCCTTGCTTTATAGACTATACTCATACTTAGTCTTTTGCTTTAAAATACCACTACTTAAATTATTTTATAAAAAACTTAAAGATTTAAATGGTTAACTTCATAAGAAATAAATATGTCTAATATGATGAAACTTACATAAGATTTGTGTTTGATGCATTTGATTTCTTCTGCTACTTGTTAAAAGGAAGGATATAATATTTCAAATAAAAATATCTTCTTCTGTAACAAATAATAATCTAAAATTGAATCATCTCATAGAATATTAAAACTTCATGTGCCAGTAAACAAAATATAACATAATCTTTAATAAATCATTATATAATATGATTTCAGCAATTATAGTATTGTGTCCCAAAACTTTCACTAAAAGCAGTCAAAAACTAGCATTTATAAAAGTTAGAAAACAATGGACAGAATACTGTTATATTTACATATCTAAATAATGTTATAATTAAAATGCAGAATAACAATAGGCAGTATTAAAGTTTTTTCCTCGTTTATTCAAGATCTGTATCTTCAGGCTACATATTTTTATTGCTAAAAGTCCTTTTCTGAAGATGAATACATTTTACCCCATCAGTCATTTTTAACTTTACATTAGGAGAGACATCCTCTAGGAGCTGCTTATAAGCTTTGGAGTTAGATTAGACTTAGACTTGGAAAATACATTGGAAGTTCTCTGAATCTTACTTTTTTTTCATTAAGAAAAACCTCTAGCTTCATGCTTCATGACAGAGTTCCTGTGAAAAATAAAGTCTGATTAAATAACATAATGCAAGTATACAGCAAGCGCAGCGTATAATTCATCAGTCTACTATGCTGTTTCCTTCATATTCTTTATAGTTATACATAAAATAGATAGAAAAGGAACATGCCAAGTAGTCTACGCTCCCTTGACACACAGTCCCCACACCAAGCCATTTCAGCAGCTCAGTTAAACTACTGGAATCATGGAATTGCTTGACACCATTTAAAAACCAATGCAGGTTTCTAATTGAAAAATATATTCTCTTCATCTTTTAAACAAACCTAATGGGGCTTGAGATTAAAACTCTGTTGAACAGTATAAAATTCTATATCATGACAAATACATTCCAAGAAAGTGATAGATTGTGAAGAATATAATTTTTTATGATGTCTCAAAATAAAATCATTTCTTTCAATCACTTGTAAAACATATTGGGTTTTCAAGTACAATTATGTATACACATGTATGTATATGTTTGTGTGTATTACATATATTTTTCCCTTATTATTGATCATGAGTCTGTATTTTATATTTATATATTACTACTATGAATAACAAGATCTGTCTTCTTTGATCTGAAATATCTACATAAGGATATTACTTTGATTTCTGCCTGATTTTCAGTGCATGAAAGATAAAATAAAATAACTATTAGATTTAATCAAATTATAAAAGGTTTGCCATCTATATTTCAATTGTTCTAACTTACAATTTATAAAAAGTATTAGAGATATATATGTACTGAGTTTCAAACTTTAACTTCCTCTGGTTTAAAAAATATAAAGCATGTCCATGACGAGAAGTTAAGCTCTGCTCTCATTTAAATAAAATAATTCAATTATCATTTGTTTTGCATCCTACCACAAAATCACATTAAAAGTATGCTGAAATATTACTTCAAATTAATTTATACTAACCAGTGTAATATTCAAGAAGGGTATACAATCTAGTTACTAAACAAAATTCCTTTAGTACAATGATTGCTTCAGTGAAATACCTATTTAAAGCCTAGAGTTGCATTAAATAACAAGATGAATAAAAAAAATTATGTGACAAAATGCGTGTCAACAATATAAAGTAAGGCAGGCTTTATTTGTTTTAAACCTGAAATAATCCTGAGATATGTGTCAACATTAGAACCATCATTAATTAATATTTTAAAAAGATAACTATACAGAAATGCATGAAGTAGATTACTCATTATCCTTTCATATAAATATTACCATTTGCTTCTTACACATTCAATGAAAAACATGCAGTAAGTAGTCTGTTTTATTGTCAATGTGATAATTTTACAAACAATTGAAATAAAAATTGTAAATGAAAACAAGGGAACATACAGATAATGTAATATATTGGCTGTCAGTGTATTATAATATATACATTTGGACAGTTATCGACTTTTTGAAAGTTTCAAATTAGTAAATAATGGATTCATAACATTCTTATCACTTATCAAAAGAACACTTATGGATTCATATTGATTTATATTTATAATTATATGTATGCAGCTAAAATTTTAGAGGGAAAATATTATTCCCAATATACCTTATTAATAAATATGCAAAGGTCTATTATGTGATGGTATAATGTAATCACTGTAGGTAGTCTGACACAATATGCAAATTACCTTGCCTTTTGAGGAATTCTGTTTTTTTTAGACAGAGTCTCGCTCAGTTGCCCAGGCTGGAATGCAGTGGCGCCATCTCGGCTCACTGCAAGTTCCGCCTCCCAGGTTCATGCCATCCTCCTCCCTCAGCCTCCCAAGTAGCTGGGACTATAGGTGCCCACCACCACAACCGGCTAATTTTTTGTATTTTTAGTAGAGACAGGGTTTCACTGTGTTAGCCAGGATGGTCTCGATCTCCTGACCTTGTGTTCTGACCGCCTCGGCCTCCCAAAGTGCTGGGATTACAGGCTTGAGCCACCGCACCCGGCTGAGGAATTCTTTATCAGAGATACTAAGGAGGTATAATTAAAACTCTGTGGGCTGGGCACAGTGGCTCATCCTTGTAATACCAGCACTTTGGGATGCCGAAGAGGGAGGACTGCTTGAGCCCAGGAGTTCGAGGCTTTATCACTACAGAAAGTAAGAAAATTAGCTGAGCATGGCAGAATGTACCCATGGTCCCAGCTACTTAGGAGGCTGAGGTGGGAGAACTCGCTTGAGCCCAGGAGGCCAGGGCTGTAGTGAGTCCTGTTCATGCCACTACATTCCAGCCTGGGTGACAGAGTGAAACTCTGTCTCAAAAATAATAAAAATTAAAATTAAAAATAATTAAAATTAAAAATTAAACTATTTAATAAAAGAGCACAACATTTTATTAATAGTTTCTGGAGGCAACAGTTGTGCATATATTGACTCTCACAGGATATGTCCTATGATCCACGGAAAGCTGCACATCTCTCAAATCTTAGTACATGTTAATCTTATTTAACATTAAATGATATTTTTAATTATAGGCCTTAGGCATAATATGTGATTATCAAAATAAAAAAGAAATCCATCATATTTACAGAGAATTTTAGCAGTAAAAGATGAATTACAAGAGGATATAGGTTTCATTCTCACTTAACAAGAAACTCTAATCAACTAACCTAGAGCTTTGAGATTTAAAAGTAACTGAAATTTTATTATTTTATACATTTTATTCTCACCTGTATTTTCCAAGTAACTGAAGAAGAAACATTCACTAACCAATATTACATTTCTATGCTGATTTTCCAGATAAAGTTAACATTTAACAATTTTTTACAGCATAATACTAAACAAATATAAATAGTTTAAATAAGCTAGATTAATTAAAATACTTTTTACATTACCCAATATTTATTTCAGATGTAAATTATAAACATCAAAATATTGCAGAAAATCAAACTGCTACTCAACCCACTAACTTGATAGATAAACATACAAAGTAATTTCATTACAAACGAGCATTTTAATTCTGTCTTTCCCTTCTGCTTTCCAAAATAAACTTTTTGTATAATTGATTGATATCAGATACTGTGATGGTGTAAGTAGAGGAGGGAATAAATGGCCTTAGAAAAATGGGGCAAAAAAATATGAAACTCAGGTATCACAGAAATGTAATACACTTACTCTTTCATATTTTTGTGACCTTTTGAAACATCAACACATTGAAAAAATACTCATCTGTTTCCTATTTTAAAATTACATTATTTAAGGATGTGCAAATTTGTCTAAGGATAAGGCTGTAATGAAATGCTATCTTCTCTTAGTTAATAGATATTCAATCAATAACCAATGGAAGAAGGAGGATTCCTTTAAATAATTTATTAGGCCTTTCTGTTTCATATCCTTGAAACATAAATTAGTATTGCTTGATTACATGACCCTCTGAATTACAACATGAGACTATTCTATTTAGAAAAAGCTTTCTCTTTTATATTCCTTTTGATCTTATTATTTTCCCCCATTTTTGACCTCTAACTTTCAGACAAAAAGAATCTACAAAATTGGATTGGACATATGAAATTATATCAGAGCAATACATATCTACTTGGTGCTCATCATAGTATAAAAATTGATACATTTTTCAGTAAAATTTTAAACTAAAATCCTTGAGTTTGAACTGACAAAGTTTCTCGTTTCCTTGCAAATAAATGCCCTGTCAAAAATCTAAATTTTATATAAAACAGGAAGTGATGGAGGAAAGTATTTTTTTATTTATTTACAATTATTCTATAAAATACAAATATGTGTATGTGTGTGTTTTAGTGATACATATATATCAGGAACTTGGCTAGAACCTTAAGCTAAAAGCTGGAATGTCATACTAATTTTGTTTAATTTAAAAGCAAACATTTATTTTGTATAGCAACCAAAGAGAAAACCAAAGAAGCCCAGTGGATCAAATTCAGCCATCACTGACTATAGTTTCCCTAAGACTCTTGAAATGGAAAAGTAGCATATACTGAGGACCAAAGTAATATCTGATATATTCAAATTTCTGATAGGCTACCTATGTATATATTCTGCCAATAAATAAACTGTGTGACAAACAGACTCTAATGTAGCCCTACATGGTCTCTGGCTTCTGGTGTTTACATCCCAGTGTAATTCCTACTCCTTGAATATGGATGGGACCCATGTCTTGCTTCTAAACAAAAAAATTTGGCAAAAGTGATGGGATTTCACTCACCACATTACATTAGGCTCCATATTCCTAGCAGACCTGCTAGCTTGATAAAGAAAGTGGTCATGTTGGAAAGGCTCACATGGCAAGGAAGTGTGAACAGCCTCTAGGTAGTATGGGAAGCCTCTAGCGTCTAAGGATAGCTATGAATGGTCAGCAAGAATCTGAAGCCCTCATTCCTACAAAAGTGAAGAAATGAATTCTGACAACAGCCTGAGTGAGCTTGGAAGTGGATTTTCCCAATTCAGGTCTCCAGATGTAAACTTTGCACAGATGATAATTTTCACTTTTGCAGAACCCTAAAGGGAGTGCCTACTACACAATGCTGAGACCCCTGATTCACACAAATTGTGAGCAAATAAATGTGCGCTGTGTTTACCCACAAAGTATGTGATTATTTCTTATGCAGCAATATAAATTAATATAAACACTTAATGAAATAAAGACAAAATTTCAATAATGCTGACTTTGGGCAAAATATTAAGCATCTTCATGTTCCTGTTCTATGACAAGAGTTAAATGTTTTACTCATGCCCTAAAAAGGCATCTATGGATTCTAGTCCAACATTAATTTACATAAATTTCTTTTTTTTAACTTTTATGTTCAGCGGTACATGTACAGTTTTGTTATATAGGTAAACTTGTATTATGGGGGTTTGCTGTACAGATTATTTTGTCACCCAGGTAGTAAGCCTAGTGGCCATTAGTTATTTTTCCTGATTCTCTCTCTCCTCCCACACTTCACCCTCTGGTAGGCCCTAGTATGTATTGCTCCCCGGCCCCACCTTTTTTTTTGAGACAGAGTTTCGCACTGTTGCCCAGGCTGGAGTGCAGTGGTGCGATCTCGGCTCACCACAACCTCTGCCTCCTGAGTTCAAGCGATTCTCCTGCCTCAGCCTATCCAGTAGCTGGGACTACAGGCGTGTGCCACCATGCCTGGCTATTTTTTCTATTTTTAATAGAGTCAGGGTTTCACTATGTTGGCCAGGCTGGTCTCAAACTCCTGACCTCGTGATCCACCCTCCTTGACCTCCCAAAGTACTGGGATTACAGGCACGAGTCACTGTGCCCGGCCTGTGTTGTTCCCCTTTATGTGTCCATGTGTTCTCATCATGTAGTTCCCAATTATAAGTGAGAACATGTGGTATTTGGTTTTTTATTCCTGCATTAGTTTGGTATAAATAATGGCCTCCAGCTTCATCCATGTTCCTGCAAAAGGCATGATCTCAAGCGTTTTTATTTCTGAACAGTATATCATGGTATATATGTACTACATTTCCTTTATCCAGTCTACCATTGATAGGCATTTAGGTTGATTCTATGTCTTTGCTATTGTGAATAGTGTAACAATGAACTTACGTGTGCATGTGTCTTTATGATAGAATGGTTTATATTCCTTTAGGTATACACACAGTAATGGGATTGCTGGGCCTAATAATATTAATGGTTTTGGGTCTTTGAGGAATCACCACACTGTCTTCCATAATGGCTGAACTAATTTACACTCCCACCAACAGTGTATAATATGTATTCCTTTTTCTCTGCAACCTCGCCAGCATCTGTTATTTTTTGACTTTTACTAGCCATTCTGACATGGGACATAGAATCTTGTGATATTCATTTGCAATTCTCTAATTATCAGTGATATTGCGCTTCTTTTTATATGATTCTTGGCTGTATGTCTTCTTTTGAAAAGTGTCTGTTCACGTACTTTGCCTACTTTTTTATGAGGTTGTTAGTTTTTTCTTGTAAATTTATTTAAGTTCCTTATAGATATTGGCTATTAGACTTTATCAGATGCATAATTTTCAAAAATTTTCTCCTATTCTGTAGACTGTTTACTGTGTTGATAGCTTCCTTTGCTGGGCAGAAGCTATTTAGTTTAATTAGATCCCATTTGTCAATTTTTGCTTATATTACAATTGCTTTGGTATCTTCATCATGAAATCTTTGCCCATGTCAACATCCTGAATGGTATTGTCTAAGTTTTATTCCAGGGTTTTTATAGTTTTGGGTTTTACATTTAAGTCTTTAATCCATCTTGAGTTAATTTTTGTGTAAGGTATAGGGAAAGGGTCCAGTTTCAATTTTCTGCTTATGGCTAGCCAGTTATCCTAGCAGCATTTATTGAATAGGGAATTCTTTCCTCATTGCTTGTTTTTGTCAGATTTGTCAATGATCTGATAGTTACAGGCTCATGTTCGTATTTCTGGGTTCTCTATTCTGTTCCATTGGCATTTGTGTCTGTTTTTATACCAGTACCATGATATTTTGGTTACTGTAGCCCTGTAGTATATTTTGAAGTCAGGTACTGTGATGTTTCCAGTTTTGTCCTTTTTATTAGGATTTTCTTGGCTATTCAGGCTCTTTTTTTCATTCCATATGAATTTTAAAATAGATTTTTTCTAATTTGGTGAAGAAAGTTAAGAGTAGTTTAATGGGAGTATCATTGAATCTGTAAATTGCTTTGGGTAGTATGGCCATTTTAACGATATTGATTCTTTCTATCCATGAGCATGGAATGTTTTCCCGTCATCTCTGATTTTTTTTTTTTTTTTTTTTTTTTTTTGAGATGGAGTCTTGCTCTGTAGCCCAGGCTGGAGTGCAGTGGCCCGATCTCGGCTCACTGCAAGCTCCGCCACCTGGGTTCACGCCATTCTCCTGCCTCAGCCTCCCGAGTAGCTGGGACTACAGGCGCCCGCCACCACACCCGGCTAATTTTTTGTGTGTTTAGTAGAGACGGGGTTTCACCATGTTAGCCAGGATGGTCTCAATCTCCTGACCTCGTGATCCGCCCGCCTCCACCCAAGTGCTGGGATTACAGGCATGAGCCACTGCGCCAGCCCATCTCTGATTTCTTTGAGCAGTGGTATGTAGTTCTCCTTGTGGAGATCTTTTGCCTCCTGTATTCCTAG
Source organism: Homo sapiens (assembly GCF_000001405.40). Lineage (NCBI taxonomy): Eukaryota > Metazoa > Chordata > Mammalia > Primates > Hominidae > Homo > Homo sapiens. The sequence goes on from NC_000023.11 coordinate 90,364,590, forward strand.
GTATTTATTTATTTTTTATTTTATTTTTTTTTTTTTGAGACAGAGTCTCAGTCTGTCACCCATGCTGGAGTGCAGTGGCACGATCTCGGCTCACTGCAACCTCCACCTCACTGGTTCAAGCAATTCCCCTGCCTCAGCCTCCTGAGTAGCTGGGATTACAGGCGCATGCCACCACGCCCGGCTAATTTTTTTGTATTTATAGTAGAGACGGGGTTTCACCATGCTGGCCAGACTGTTCTCGAACTCCTGACCTCAAGCAATCCACCCGCCTCGGCCTCCCAAAGTGCTGGGATTGCAGGCATGAGCCACCACGCCCAGCTGGTATTTTATTCTGTTTGTGGCAATTGCGAATCGGAATTTGTTTCTGATTTGGCTCTCAGGAATATTATTAATTTTTGCTCATTGTTTCTGTATCCTAAGATTTTGCTGAAGTTGTTTATCAGCTTAAGAAGCTTTTGGGCTGAAACTATGGAATTTTCTAGTTATAGGATTATGTCATCTGCGAACAGGGATAGTTGAACTTCCTCTATTCCTATTTGGCTGCCCTTTCTTTCTTTCTTTTGCCTGATTGCGCTGGTCAGGATATCTAACACTATGTTGACTAGTATTTGTGAGAGAGGGCATTCTTGTCTTATGCTCGTTTTCAACGGGAATGCATCCAGGTTTTGCCCATTTAGTATGATTTTGGCTGTGGGTTTTTCATAGATGGCTCTTATTATTTTGAAGTATTTTTCTTCAATACCTAGTTTGTTGTGAGTTTTTAACATTAATGGATGTTGAATTTTATCAAAAGTCTTTTTTTCATTTATTGAGATCATCGTCTGTTTTTTGTCTTTAGTTCTATTTATGTGATGAATCACATTTATTGATTTGCACATGTTGAATCAACCTTGCATCCTGGGGAAAAAGCCTCCTTGATCATGGTGGATAAGCTTTTTGATGTGCAGCTGTATTTGGTTTGCCATTATTTTGTTGCAGATTTTTGCATCGATTTTCGCATTGATTTTCATCATGAACATTGGCCTGAAGTTTTCATTTTTTGTTGTGTCTCTGCCAGGTTTTTGTATCAGCATGATCCTGGGCACATAGAATGCTTTAGAGAGGAGTCACTCCTCCTCAATTTCTTGTAATAGTTTTAGCAGGAATGGTACCAAATCTTTGTACATCTGGCAGAATTGAGCTGTGAATCTGTCTCATTCTTGGCTTTTTTTGGTTGGTAGGCTATTTATTTCCTACTCAATTTCAGAGCTTGTTATTAGTCTGTTCGGGGTTCGATTTCTTATTGGTTAATGTTGGGAGGCTGTATGTGTCCAGGAATTTATCCATTTCTTCTAGATTTTCTATTTTGTGTTCATAGAGGTGTTTATAATACTCTCTGATGGTTATTTGCATTTCTGTGAGGTCAGTGTTATTATCCCGCTTGTCGTTTCTGACTATGTTTATTGTTTATTTGAATCCTCTCTCTTTTCTTCTTTATGAGTCTAGTTAGTAGTCTATTTTATTTTATTTTTCAAAAAACCCAGCTCTTGGTTTGTTGATCTTTTGAAGTTTTTTGTGTTCATCACTATCTCCTTCAGTTTAGCTCTGATTTTGGTTATTTATTTTTATTTTTATTTTTTATTTTTTGAGACAGAGTCTTGCTCTGTCACCCAGGCTGTAATGCAGTGGCACAATCTCAGCTCAGTGCACCCTCTGACTTCCGGATTCAAGTGATTCTCTTGCTTCAGCCTCCTGCATGGCTGGCACTGCAGGCACATGCCACCACCTCTAGCTTATTTTTTTATTTTTAGTAGAGATGCAGTTTCACCATGTTGCCCAGGCTGTTCTCGAACTCCTGACCTCAAGTGATCTGCCTGCCTTGGCCTCCCAAAGTGCTGGTATTACAGGTGAGAGCTACAGCACCCAGCCTTCATTTTGGTTATTTTTTATTTTTTTATTTTTTATTTTTATTTTTTGAGACAGAGTGTAACTTGGTTACCCAGGCTGGAGTGTAGTGGCATGTTCTTGGATCACTACAACCTCCATCTCCTGGGTTCAAGCAATTCTTGTGCCTCAGGGTCTCAAGTATCTGGGATTACAGGTATGCACCACCACATCTGGCTAATTTTTGTATTATTAGTACAGATGGGGTGTCACAATGTTGACCAGGCTGGTCTCAAACTCCTAAGCTCTAGTGATCAGCCCGCATCGTCCTCCAAAGTGCTGGGATTACATACACTAGCCACCGTACCCAGCCGATTTTAGTTATTTCTTGCCTTCTGCTATCTTTGAAATTTGTTTGCTCTTGGATCTCTAGCTATTTTAGGTTTTTAAATTGAGTTCTTTCTAACTTCTTGATGTGGGCATTTAGTACTATAAATTTCCTCTTAACTCTGGGTTAGCTTTTTCTAACCATACAGAAAGAATCTTTCTTTCTCCCAGAGATTCTGGTATGTTGTATTTTTGTTTTCATTAGTTTCAAAGAACATCTTGATTTCTGCTTTATTTTATTATTTACCCCAAATTCATTCAGGAGTAGGTTATTCCATTTCTATGTAGTTGCATGGTTTTGAGTGAATTCTCTTATTCTTATTTTTAATTTCTAATTTGATTGTATTGTGGTCCAAGTGATTGTTTTCATTTCAGTTCTTTTGCATTTGCTGAGGAATGTTTTACTTCAAATTATTAAAATTCATTAAAATTAATATCGATTTTAGAGTATGTGCCATGTGGCAATGAGAAGAATGTATATTCTGCTGCTTTCGGGTGGAAAGTTCTGTAGATATCTATGAGGTCCATTTGATCCAGTGCTGAGTTCAGATGTTGAATATATGTGTTAATTATCTGTCTTGATGATCTGCCTAATCTTTTCTGTCAGTGGGGTGTTAAAGTTTCCCACTATTACTGTGTGGGAGTCTAAATCTCTTTGAAGGTCTCTAAGAACTTGGTTTATGTATCTGGGTGCTCCTGTGTTAGGTGCACATATATTTATAACAGATTTTCCTGTTTAATTGAATCATTTATTATTATGTGATGCTTTTATTTATCTTTTTTGATCTTTGTTGGTTTAAATTATGTTTTGTCCAAAACATGATTATACCAGCTGAGAGGTAAGCTCAACTGTTAGCTTCCCCTCCTGATAAACTCAAAAGACTGCTTGGTTGTATGATTACTGTTGATCATCCTTATTGGAGAAAAAAAAACAAAAAGCCAAAAAAAAAAAAAAAAACCAAACAACAACAACTCAAGACTGACACTCTTTGGACTATTTGTAGTGTTCCTTATTCATGCCAATATTATTTTATGAGAATACTTGGACAATTCTTAATATAATCTTCTGGATAAAATCAATGTAAAGATCCAAAATGATGCACAAAATGGAACTTTTAAAAATTATTATATCTTGTTAATTTCTCACATTATAGAGTTGGTTATTTTTAGAGATCTGTTAAAGCTGTAATAAAAGAAAATACAGACTAACGTAATAGCAACTATGTAGGTCTTTGTCACTTATCTAGATGGCACTTTGCTGAAGTTGCAGTTATTACATAAATATATACATTTTTGTACTGGATCAAATCTGAAGAATTGGCCCTAATTTAAAAAGTAAATACCTCTATTTGCTGCTGTTGTGAAGAGCAGTTGGCTGTTTCTCAGTCTCTACAATATTCCCACAGGACAAGGACATTTATAAGTATTTCTATAATAGGCACATATTCACATAATAATTTGAGAAGTGGGAATTTCAGAAGACTAATTTGTTTCTCTGAGGTTCAGGTGAATTTTACTAGTAAGTTGCATTTCTACAAAACTACAGAGAAGTCTTAACATGTTCATCTATAAACAACTACAAAAATGCAAGCTACCTTGTGGATCACAGAAGAAATTAGTAGATTTTTTAAGTAACCTATGTGTCACTTCAATTATTCTTTTTTCGGTGAATATTTTACAGTGAATAAGCCCCAGTCTTTGAGACTAAGTCAGCAAAACTATCCTAATGATGATCACCTCAATCTATACTATACTTGGGAAGAGCATTATCTACTGTACTACGATTTATTGCTGTGCTTTGAGTCATTTCTTTGCATAGTTAAGCTGCTACCAATTGTTTCAGCATAGGAATGTCTTCCAAAAATATATCTGAAGTATGTTGTGCCAACTCACCTGGCATGGTGGCAAGAAGGAGCAGAGAAAGATGTTCTATAGTAATATGAACATGTTCCACAACACTGGAAGAATATGGATAGTAGAGAAGAAAAAATCTTGTGAAATGCAGAAATTTGTGTGAAGTCCCTTGTGTCGTGTATCTCAATGTATTGAATCATGTCTTTATATACTGAGGATATCTTGTCCTGATGAATTCTGGTGATCCCTGAAAAAAAAATGGTAGAAAGAACATACTAAAAATTAAAGAAAAGATAAATTTTGAATACAGGAAATGAAGTTTTTTGTCGTCCAAATTAATATGAAGGAGGGAATCAAATAAACATAATGAAGAAAAGATTCATTTTTTGCTCCTTTTATATGAAATGCTGATATCTTTGACACTAATCAAAACTCAGCTCTACAATGAAGATTAGAAGACAAGCTGTGTGTCTTCAATTTAAAGGAATTTACAAATACTGTACAGGAAAACTTTGAAATGCCATGAAATCTTATAGCTCATGAATATAATTCAATACAGGTTTCACCCAAATTGACAAAAATTCTAAATGTTTACTCGGCCTTAAAATAAACAGGTCTTGAAGCTAAAACAAACTTTCAAAAAATATCCATAATGTAAAAACTAATTTTAATCAACCATGTTACAAGGAGACTTATTTGTCTTTCTAATCTTTCTATACAAAATGTTGTTCAAATATGATTTTTCTATGAAGAGTCAAAGAGTATGGCATTGTTTCTGAATATGCTAATTTTCTTCTATTTTGATACTTGTGTTATTTGTAGCTTTTCAAAATGTTAGATTAAGGAGATAAATGAGCAGGTTTCTTACTTGGGTATATTGTGTGATGCTGAGGTTTTGACTTCTAATGATCTCATGGCCCAAATAGTGAACATAGTACCCAACAGGTAGTTTTTCAATCCTTGTCCCCCTTCCTCATTCCTCCTCTTTTGGAATCCTCAGTATTTATCATTCCCATCTTTGTGTTCATCTGTATCCAGTATTTGGCTCCCACTTTTAAGTGAAAACATGTGGCATTTGTTTTTTTGTTTCTGTATTAATTCACTTAGGATAATGGCCTCCAGCTACATCCATGTTGTTTCAAAGGACATGACGTCATCCTTTTTTATTGCTGCATATTATTCCACAGTGCATATAGGCCATATTTTCTTTATCCAATCCACTGGTGACAAGCACCTGGGATGATTCTGTTACCGGGGGTCCTTGCTCACAGAGCTCCCAAGATGGTGGTGAGCCGCTTCCAAGATGATGGCAAGCCTCGTGTTCTCTGACCTGGGGTTCTTGGCCTGACGGATTCCAAGGAATGGAATCTTGGGCCATGTGGTGAGTGTTATAGCTCTATTAGAAGCCGTGGGTCACGGAAGAGAACCGTGGAACCCAGTGACTAGTGTTCAGCTCGATTAGGATGAACCCAGGCACTTAGCCATGCAGGAACAATGGCAAGCCTTTAGCCCGATCAGGAGTGGCAATGGGCGCCTTGCTGGATCAGGAGCACAGTGAACACCCTGCCGGATCCAGAGAGATGGAAGTCAGTGGTGGGTCTGTGACAGTGGCAAACAGCAGTCGTGGACAACGAGCGAAAGCTCAGGTCAAGCCATAACAAACACGGACCAGAAGAGTGCAGTTGCAAGATTTAATAGAGTGAAATAGAGTGAAAACAGAGCTCCCATACAAAGGGAGGGGACCCAAAGGGGGTTGCCATTGCTGGCTCAAATGCCTGGGTTTCTATCTCGATCATTGGCCCTCCCGCTGTGCTCTCAGGCAACAGGCAACAGATGATTGGCTATTTCTTTACCTACTGTTTTTGCCTAATTAGCATTTTAGTGAGCTCTCCTTACTATCTGATTGGTCGGGTGTGAGCTAAGTTGCAAGCCCTGTGTTTAAAGGTGGAAGAGGTCACCTTCCCAGCTAGGCTTAGGGATTCTTAGTCAGCCTAAGAAATCCAGCTAGTCCTGTCTCTCAATTCCATGTCTTTGCTACTGTAAATAGTACTGTGAAAAACATGTGAGGGCAGGTGTCTTTTTGGTAGAACAATTTATTTTCCTGTGAGTATATACTCAATATTGAGATTGCTGGGTCTAATGATAGTTCTAGTTTTAGTTCTTTGAAAAATCACTGTTTCTCATAGATGTTGAACTAATTTACATTTCCACAAGCAGTATATAAGCATTCTATTTTCTCTGCAACCTCACCAATATCTGTTATTTTTTGACTTTTTAATAATTGCCATTCTGACTGGTGTGAGATAGCATCTCATTGTGGTTTTGATTTCCATCTCCCTGATTATTAGTGAGCATTTTTTCATATGTTTGTTATTGAGAAGTATCTATTCTTTTGATAAGTACCTGTTCATGTCCTCTGCCCACTTTTTAATTAGGTTATTTCTTTTTCTTGTTGATTTGTGTAAGTTTCTTGTAGATTCTGAATATTTTGCCTTATTCAAATTATGCATAGTTTGCAAAATTTTTCTCCTATTCTATAGGTTGTCTGTTAAAATGTGTAATTTCTTATCATATATTTTCTTATTCTACATAAGTATTTACTTTTATATCTAATTTATTAACCATTTTGTATTCTTTCTCTTGAATACTTCTCTTTGAAGTGGACTCTTATATTGTACAAATTTCAGTCCTCTCAAAATCTAGATGATCTCTGGCAAAATTGTATTCTTGGAAGGAGAAGAAATGAGTATAGTCCTGGCTTTACTCTGCTGTTGACTTGGTTTTTGACCCAAAAGAAGTTATTTAACCTAACGAGGCCTCTTTTACAATAACTTTAAAATAAAGCTATAGCTTTTAAGGACCCTTTTATCATGCTGACAATCTGGAATTTTTCCTAAGCCTCATGCTCTCAGGAAACAACTCAAGTTAAAACGATCCTATCATTTTTTTGTTTTGCAAAATGGATTACTGGAAAGAACCATCCTTCCTCATATGACTTTGATAAGACTCAACAATGGCCGCTTCCTTGCTTAACTGATAACAAGACTCCATAAAGTCCCTCCAAATCCCTTTTTTTTTTTTGCCTTATAAATGATTGGCTGAAATGTTTTATCCACAAAGATCAACGGGAATAAAATACCTGTTAACGCAACTTAGGCTTCTTTCCTTCCTCCAGACCCCTGTACATTGGTCTATCCTCAGCCTGAGACAACAGGGAAACCCTCCTCATAATAGTCTGGCCTCAGGGTAAAACATTCTGTGATCTACTATTGTCTCATACCACCCTTTCATCCTACTTCCCCCACACTGGGGTTCTTTCAAGCCTTGTTTTCTTCTCTCTGTAAGAAAAAAAACAAAAACAAAAACAAACAAACAAAAAACCATTTCTGCCTAATTCTTGAAACACTGGCAGACCTTACAGTCAGCATTCACCCTACTCCAGTAGTCCTTCTCCCCTCCCTTGCAATAATCCTTTTGAATAAAAGTCTCTCCTTACTCATTCTGGATTTGCTTTTTATTTGGCAATGCAAAAAATGTGCCTGTTAAAGGGTTAGAGAAATGAAGCCAGCATGTTATCTGAAAATCTCAAAATTCTACTCTTTTTATGAGTGAAGCTACTGAACAAGTAAACAGCATAGTTCTCTTAACCCAATATTTAATCAGTTTTATACACTGAAAAGGCTCCATTTATGGCTGAGTCTTTTATTAAAACCAGTTGTACAATGAATGCCTATCTAAACATTGTGCATTATCACAAGAAGAGCTTTTCTGAATTGCAAATTTCATGAAAGCTTGTGTTATGCTATCCCTGTATAACTAATGTAACATTTGGGAACAAATATATTTCTTTTATAACAAAATTCAAATGTTGAAATAGCTTAAATATCCTCAGAAATAGAGTACTATTCTCTGCATTTCTCTGTGGTGAAATTCTCTAGATGTCCTGTAAATGGCACTTCCGACAGCAAAGTTTTGAAAGCGTTAAGCACCCCTGGAAAGCCAGATCACAAAACATACAAAAGGATATTAAAACACAGAAACTTTAAACATATTAGTGTTAGAAACTTTGTTTTAACTAGGTACTTTCTCTTATTTTGCTCCTGTGCGTATCAGTTGCAAAACGTTCACACCACCTACAGCAATCTTAGACGAAAGGATTTAAAGTAAGCATGTCAATAGTGGTTCACAAAGCAATTAAAATATATATATATGATTTCTTATCTTTAAAATAATTTTAGATGGTGTTTTAATCTTTGTTAGAAAGTACAGAAGACACTTTTTTTTGTTTTCTTTTAATTTTTTTTACATGTATTTGTTTGTAAATCTTCTGTCTCGACTAGACCAAGAGCTACTTACTGGCAGAAAATAATTTTAATTTCTCTCTGGCTCAGTATTGAGCAGAGGCTGATAAATGTTTGGGACAGAAGGACAAAAGATATTTCACTCTGTTCACTTGCATTCTTCTTACTTTTTCTAAGTATTTTTCTCCTTTTACTGCTGCTTTCTCTGTTTTTGCAAAATATTTCCAAGACATGAAAGAGAGTTCCTTAGAATACATGCCCAGTTTAAAAACCACAGAGGAAATATGTAATTATATACCCATCACTGAGATTAAAATACAAGATTAACTATTATATCTAAAACCCTTGAATATCTCTCTCAAATTGAGCCCTCTTTTGCACTCTCAGCTGTAACCACTAATCTAAAACTTATTTTAATTATTCTTTGCTTCACTTTATAATTCTTCCACATGTAAATATATCCTTAAACCATATATCATCTAATTTTACTTGCATTTGACAGTAACATAAATAGAATTATACTGCACTTGGTTGTTTGACTGAACATGAGTCATTGAGATTCATTGTGAGGTACATTCATCTTCCTTTTGTATGGCTCAGCTACACAAAGTGTGTTCCCATTCCCTGGACCAACAACATTGAGATCACCCAGAAATTTGTTAGAAATGTAGAATCTTTGGCACCACTATCAAATCCTTGAGTACAAATTTCATTTAACAAGATTCCCAGGAGATGCACACTTACAGTAATATTTGAAAATCACTTCATTGTTTGATTATAGCATAATATATTCATTATATTGTTTGTATAATATCGTTGACGTTAATTGTCTTGTCTGTGATACTTGGTTGATTTCATTTATTTTCCATAAAAATCTCTTTATTTATTCAACAAATATATATTATGTGCTTACTACATGCCAAGCATTGAAATAAATGCTTAGGATCCTTCAGAGAATAAAACAGAAAAAAATCCTGCTTTTGTGGTGCTTACGTTCTAATGAGGGTAAAAGGCGAAAATCATATATAATAAACGTATTTTATGTTATAAAGTGATAAGCGCTTGCTATAGATGGAATTGTGACCCCCAAAATTTATATGTTAAAGCGTTAACACCCACAACATCAGATGTAATAATATTTGGAGTTAAGGTCTTTAAATTGGTAATTAAATTAAAACAAGTCTGTAAGGATAGTTCCTTATACAATCCAACTGGTTTCCCTATGAGAAAAGGAGATTGGGACACAGAGACAGACACCAGGGATAAGCAATCACACAGGAAAGGCTACTGAGTGCCGCAAGAGGTTGGCTCTCTGAGGGCTAAGGAGAGAAGCCTCAGAAAGAAAAATCAACTTTGCTAACATCTTGACCCTGGATTTCTGCCTCCAGAACTGTGAGAAAATGAATTTCTGTTGGCTAAGCCACACAATCTGTGACGTTTTGTTATGGTGGCCCTGGCAAACCAATACAGTGCTTAAATAAAGAAGCAAGATAAGATGGATGGGAGTGCCAGGAATGGGGATGAGAACAATTTTAAGTAGAGTGGTCAGAGTAAATTGCATTGACAAGGTGTCCTTTGATCAAAACCCAAAAGGTGTTAAATGAATTTCATGAGGCTCCAGTCATAGGGTGAAAAATGCAAGTAGGGAGTGTTTAGTGGATATTTTCATGGGAGAGCAAAAAAGTCAGTATAGCTGGAAGAAAAGTGAACAAGAGGGAGAACAGTGGGAGATGAGTTCAGAGAACTAACAGGACTTTGGTTTTTAATGCAACTGAAATGGGGAGATATTGCAGTTTTAGCAGACGTGTAATATGACATTTGTAAAGTACCATTCTGGTTGCTGTGTGGAGGTATAATGCAGACAGCAAAAGGTGAAGCAGTGGGACCAGGTAGGGCTAAATTTCTGAAAGTCAATAAGACAAATAATTTGCATATAAATTATCATTATTAATATTATCTTAATAGAATTAAGATACTAGGAAGAAAAAAAGTGAAAAGCTGAAATTATATATTTGCAACAAATGATCTGCCAAAAGATCATTACTATAGGTTGGTGCAAAAGTAATTGAGATTTTTGCCATTAAAAGTACAAAAATCACAATTACTTTTGCACCAAACATAGTAATGACCTTTCAGCAGATTATTTCTTGCAAATATATACTTCCAGCCTGTCACTTTTTTTTTTCTTTCTGGTATCTTAATTTTAAGGCCTGATTTTTGTTTTATGTTTAACCCTTTTTGTGTCTTGCTTATGAAACCTTCCCCAATTCAAGACCATGAAGCTACTTTTTTCTTAAAAGCTTTAAAACTTAATTGTACAGATATGTTATTATTTCATCTGGAATTAAATTTTGTATATAGTTTTAGGTAAAGAATTCATTTTATTTTATTTTTCCACACAACCAATTGTCTAGCACCATTTTTCAAATAGTGCAGTTAATACTTATCTGCAATGCCGGCTCTGTCATATATAAAGTTTATGTAAATGTTTGGTCTATTTATGAGCTTTTTTATTAGATTTGTTGGTCAGTTTGTCGATTCTGGCTAATTCCACATTGTCTTAATCTACCTTTTAAATAAATCTTTATTTCTGTTATGTCTCCAACTTTGTTCTTAACAGTGGTTTATTCTTTTTTCTTTACATTCACGTAATTTTTAGAATAAATTTCTGGCCGGGTGTGGTGGCTCACGCCTGTAATCCCAGCACTTTGGGAGGCCGAGGAGGGTGGATCATGAGGTCAGGAGATCGAGACCATCCTGGATAACACAGTGAAACCCCGTCTCTACTAAAAATACAAAAAAAATTAGCTGGGTGTGGTGGCGGGCGCCCATAGTCCCAGCTACTGGGGAGGCTGAAGCAGGAGAATGGCGTGAACCTGGGAGGCGGAGCGTGCAGTGAGCTGAGATCACGCCACTGCACTCCAGCCTGGGTGACAGAGCAAGACTCCATCTCAAAAAAATAAAAATAAAAAAAAGAAGAAATTTCCCACTTGGCCCTGTAAAGATTGTTTACTAGGTGTTTCTATTAGTCTGCTAAAAAGATACTACCTGAGACCAGGTAATGTATAAGCAGGTTTAATTGACTCACAGTTCTGCATTGCTGGGGAGGCTGCAGGAAATTTGCAATCATGGTGGAAGGTGAAGGGGAAGCAAGGCACATCTCACATGGCAGCAGGAGAGAGAGAGAGAAAAGGAGAAATTGCCAAACACTTTTAAAATCATCAGATCTCATGAGAACTCCCTCACTATCACATGCACAGAATGGGGGAAACCACTCCTATGATCCAATAACCTCCCACCAGTTCCTCCCTCGACACGTGGGTATTACAATTTGAGATGAGATTTGGGTGGTGACACAGAGCCAAACCACATCAGTGTCGTTACCCAATTGTATAATAAATCTGTTACCAGACACTGCATCACAGTTCCTCTCTCCCTATTAACCTAGGTACTACTTCTAGGACATAATGGATTACAAGCCTAGGTGACTAGCAGCACTCAATAGAAACAGGCTTGTTTTGTAAACATCTGAAAGTCTGAGAAAGCTCAACTTGAGTAGTAAAAGGTTGAAACCATGTAACCATGAAGTTATAATTTGTGTTATTACACTTTTACTTCTCCGCCTCCTCTGCTTCATTGTTATTTTCATTATGTCATTAATACAACAGAAGTAAATAACATTTATTGAGTGTTGAGTACTTCTTTAATTACTTTAGATATATTTTGCCTAATCTTCTTTATACTCCTATAGGATATATAATGATAACTACTTTAACATATGAGAAATGAGGATCAGAGAGGTTAAGTAGAGTGTCCACATTCAGGTACCTGGGAAAGGAGTGAAATACAGAATTAAGATAATCAAAGCCACATTATTTTACATGCAAAAGTTTTGCTCAGTCTTTGTTAATTTCCTAAATTAGAAACAAATGGCCTTGCAGTTGCTACTTCATTTTCTGCTTTTGATACTGCTATATAGAAATTTAGTATTTAAAATAAAAATAACACTAGACAGCATGACTAGCTTCAGAGAATTATCAATGATTTAATCTTTAGTTACCTGACACCTGAATTACTATAGATTCCTATTGGGCACACTCTGATGTCATTTTATAAAGGTAAATTATTTCCTCTTCAAAGTTGTGACCTATCTCATAAAAGTGTCATAAGAATTAACTAATTAAAGATCAAAGAGCACTTTGAGAATATATTATACTATGTAAATACTGAGTATTGAAAAGACAAATTCTAGAGGTTAGCAAAATACTAATGTGTCAACACCAGTTCTTTCTTGCAAGGTTTTGTTTTTCATCGTTGTTCTTTTATGTTGTAAAATATGTATTGAAACATTTGTCATAAAATATCTTGCTGCTAAATGTAAGAAAGTCTAACAGGTTTTACTTTTTCAAAATTAATAAATATTCATATTTTATTTTAAATCACAATGGTTCTCATGAAACTGAAATTATATTATTCCAGAAGTAATCAGAGCTTTTTAGAAGTAATTGGAGTCTTTTTGGAAGTACATTTTATAAATCCTATTAAGTGGTCATTTTTTCTTATGGTTCTTTCTTTTAGCAAAGTAAATTTGTTATTTAATTATCTTTAATCTTTAAAGGAATTATTCAAATATGTCCATGCTTTATTAAATAATAAGTACTGGGGCATTATAGTAAATTATTAGAAAGTATAAATGATAAAATGTGTGCTATTTTGAGCATGTTTAGACTTCACAACTATATCTACACATAAAATATCATAATAAAAACCAATTATTGAAAAATATAAAATCACACATGAGATTATGTAGAGATTTTAAAGAAGCTTGGGAATTGCCTCCACTTCAGTATACATCATCAAAGCACGTTTTAGATACCTGCAAATAGTTCTTTGGCTTTGAGATTTAGTATTGCCAAAAAAAAGTCTGAAAATTAAATGTTTCTAAGGTCTGATAGGACATTTTGCTTGTTTTCACAGATGAAAAATTTTAGTAAAAATATATTCTTAAATAAGACATGTATTAGGGTTCTCTGGGGATATATATATATATTGGTTATATAGGCTATTGATCTATCAATGTATCAGAACCCATATGTGCATCAAGGGAATTATAATGAAGAATTGGCTCATGAGACTGTGGAGATTAAGTCCCATAATCTGCTAAATACAAATTGGAATCCAAAGAAGGCCAATGGAGTAATTCAGTCCTGGACTAAAGGCCTGAGAACCAGTGGAGCCAAGGGGGGTATAATTTCCAGTCTGAGAATCAAAGAAAATGAGTTGAAATGTTTCGGTCATTGTAGCAGGAAAAAAATAAAAATAAAAAGAGTGAGTTACTTTTTCCTCCCCCTTTTGTTCTATTTAGGCCCTCAGGAGATTGGGAGATGCCCACTCACAATGGAGATCCACAATCTACTGATCCACCAATTCAAATGCTAATCTCAACTGGAAAGACCCTCACAGACACACTAGGAAATTACGGTTAATCTGGGCACCCCATGGCCAGTCATGATGACACATAAAATTAACCATCCTAATTACACTCCTTGTCCATTCGGCACCCATATGCATCTCCTTAAACAATACTTAATCTTCAAGTAAAGATTATAACAAGATCATAACACTGCCTAACGTGATACAAGTACCATGCAAAAAAACAAAAACATGCTTACTTCTTCCCAAAAGGGGAGGCAAATTCTTTGGTCGATGTTTACTCTTCTCCTTGACATCATGTAACCTAAATACTATGATGTAACATGATGTAAAATTAACAATACTAAAATGAAATTTGTATGAATTAAAATCAATACATTTTATGTTACATCATAAGGGAATAAGAAAGCAAAACACAACAAAGATTTTACACACACACACATACACACGAATATATGAATGTACTCATAGGAAATTAAGGAAAAATTGGTTATGACAATTATGATTCTCCTTTCTGTAACTGATCACATGGTCGTAGCTGTTATTTATAACTATCTTCTTCCACTACCTATTTTCTATTCTCTTTGACTTCAGCAAGCACCTCAACTGAAGTTTGGGTGTTCAATGAAGCACCCAAAGTTCATTGCTGAAGAGTCTGGGCCATTAGTAGTCCTGCTTAGATGGATTGTTACAGGTTTCTATTTAGATTGTTATAGTTGTCCATTCAAGTTAATCACAAGGCACGGGGATATTAAGAAACACCATAAGAGATCTCCTGTATTCTAGACATACTCTTCCTTATCTCCATTATGGAGTAGCAGTCCAATATCTCCCTTGGTAATCAGGATCAATCATCTCAGCCAACATTGTAACTTCCATCTTTGTTGATTTGGAGATGTGAAGAGCCCTAAGAGGCCAGGTGGAAGTCTTAATTTCAAGTTCAATGAAATCATTGTTACCTCTCCCGGTGGAAGCATTCCTCCCGCAGGAACTAAGACCTCTAGGCCAGCAGAGCATAAAATCACAGAAACAGGAAGCAAAATCTTGCTGGTTGGTCACTATGGATGCTAGTGAACATTGTCACTCCAGTTCTACCACTTGATTCTTGGACCCATGAGTCCTGGCTATGAGAAAAACAGCACCATATATTGGACACTGATTCACAGCACAGCCTTCTGGAAAACCTTTCCCCAGGCTTGCACGGTGTTTACATTTAGCTGTTGTTGTAACTGAGTCTTCAAAAGGCTATTCCACTGTTCCATCAAGCCAACTACTTCAAGATGGTATGCATCATGGTAAGGCCAATGAACTTCATGGTCATGGACCTATCTATTGTCACATTTATTTTGCTGTAAACTGAGTTTCTTGATCTAAAACAACAGTGTGTAGGGTGTCATAACAGTGACTGAGACATTTTTTAAGTCCCCAAATGGTAGTTTTGGCAAAAGAACTGCATGCAGAGAAGGCACATTAATTTCCAGAGTAAGTGTTTATTCCACAAACAATAAAATGCAGCTCCTTTCTTGATGGAAGTGGTCAAATGTAATCAACTTGCCAACAGGTAGTTGGCTGATTACCCTGGGTAAAGGTATCATCTCGGGGATTCAGTTCTTTTTGATGGCAGACTGGACACTCAGTGGTGGTCATAGCCAAGTTGCCCTTGGTGAGTTAAAAGCCATGTTGCTAAGCAAGTCTCCATTTCTGCTGCCATGGCCACTTCGTGAACCACTGAGCAACGATGGTGTGGCAGGGGAAAGAGGCTGACTAGTATCTGGAAAATGGGTATTCTATCCACTAACCATTAAAATTATTTGCTGAGGTCTCTTGTTAGTGAGTAATCACATAAGACACAAAGCCTTCATAATTTTTGCCCATTCAGAGAGGTCTAACCACAAACCTCTTCCTCACATGTCTGTCATCAATTTTACAATTATGTTCCTTCCAAGTCCCTGACCAACTAGCCAAACTACTGGTCACAGCCCATGAATCAGTATGCAATTGCACCTCTGGCCATTTCTTCTTCCAAGCCAAGTGAATAACTGGGTGCACTGCTCCAAGTTATGCCCACTGAGAAAATTTCCCTTTGCCACTCTCCCTCAGGAATATACCAGAGGGGGGCAGTAGATCTGCAGCTGTTGACTTTTGAATGCTGCCTGCATATTATGCAGATGTAAACAGGGTTTAAGTTTTCTCTGCCTTTGTCAAAGGATCTTAAGTTATTCACCACGAGGTCATACGTAAAGGGTAAAAGAGAGAAAGTAGCATAGTAGGAATAAGGACAATAGGTACCTGACCCACTTCTTCATGTAACTTACTTGCATCTCAGGATCTTCTCAGGCCAAGTAATTCATATGTCACTTCTGTTTGATGATGTAGTGTTGCTGTGCATGCTCAATTGTATGAGTTTTCTGGTTAGATAACACCCATTTTATGATGGGAAGCTTAGGTTACATGGTAAATTGGTGGAGATGGTTAAGCGTTCAGTCTCTACTAAAGGCTAGTCACAGGCCAAGAACTGTTTCTCAAAAGGAGAGTAGTCATCTTCAGAGAATGACAGGATCTTGCTCCAAAATTTTAAAGACCCCCACTGCACCTATAGGAGGTGGCCAAGGGCTTCAAATAGTATTCCTATCTGATGAATGATATGGTGCAAGTGGAAGAGCAGCTTGCACTTAGGACTGAACTTATTACAGAGCCATCTCTTATTGTGAGTCCCACTCCAAATCAACAGCTTCTCTAGTCACTTGGTAAATGGGCTGAAACTACACACTCAAATGAGGAATATGTGGCCTTCAAAATCCAAAGAGTCCCGCTAGGAGTTGTACCTACTTCTTGGTTGCTGGAAGAGCCAGATGCAACAACTAATCCTTCACTTTAGCAGGAATATCTCAAGAGGCCCCACTCATACCACTGTACCCCAGAAATTTGACTGAGGTAGAAATCCCATGGAATTTAGTGAAATTTATTTCCTGTCCTCCCTGACATACAGATGTCTTATCAATAAGTCTAGAGTAGGCGGTACCTCTTCCTCGCTAAATCCATTCAGCACAATATCATCAATGTAATGGACCAGTGTGCTATCTTGTGGAAGGGAAAGGTGATCAAGATCCCTGTTAACTAAATTCTGACATCGGGCTAGGGAGTTGATATAACCCTGAGGCATGACAGTGAAGGTGTACTGGTGGCCTTGTCAGCTGAAAGCAAACTGCTCTGGTCAGCCATAAGGACAGGTTTGGAGAAAAATCATTTACCAGATCAATGGCTGCATACTAGGTATCTGGGGATGGCTTAATTTGCTGAAACAATGAAAACACAGCCAGTCTGAGGGCTAAAGAAGATGAAATGAGATGATCTAGCTCAAACTGTGAGGCAGAAAAAAACAGTCTAATTTATCATTCCTTGTTTTTTTGTTATATTTAGGGCCTCAGTGGATCAGATAATGTCTGTCCACTTTGGGGAGGCCAATCTATTTTATTGAGTCCACTAATTGAAATGCTAATTTCACTCAGAATTACCCTCATAGACATGCCTAGAAATAATGTTTAATCTGGATACTTCATGGCCAGTCAGATTGAGTCATACAATTAACCATTACAAGACATAACTGTTAATTCAGAGTGACTTATATGCATATTATAAACAAGAAGTTAGATTTAACTTCCCAAAAAAGAAGAATAAAAAGATGGCAAATGTTTGGGTCATCACGATGTAAGTGGCCTTATTAAAACCCTTGAAATGCAAGATGAGGTAGTAATATATTAAATTGTTTACATTTTTCTTATTATGTTTATTTAATAAACACTTTAGTAACACTTATGTTAATCACAGTTTTAAGTATCATAAAAACATTCATTTGATTCTTATTTCAATTGTATAAATTAGTTATTATTATTACTCACATTTTACAGACAACTCTTTAAGTAACTCGTCCAAAGTAACACATTTAAAGAGTGACAGAGCCCAAGCAGGCAGAGTCTGGAGTGATTAATCAGGTGTTAAGATGCTTCTCTTTTTTCTTTGTTGGTAACCAGGTAACAAGTCGGAAATTATCCTTAGTTTGAGAGCACAACACCTGTTTCAATTTTCTTCAATGTTAGAGAAAAAAGAAAAAAAAAGTGACAGGATTTAGCAAATTAAAGTAAGTATGATTCTTAATTCCATTCTTCCCAAAATGGTGAATTAACATGAGCTGCTGTCTCAATCCCTCAAGAAGAAGAAGAAATAAATGAAACATCTTTAAACATTTTTTAAGGAAAGTAAATATCAACTGTGTGAAACATCCTACGGAAATAAAAGTCATTTTGAATTGATGGGAATGTGTGTTTTTGTATACACATGGAGAATGCAGAGCTGAATATATTTTTTAGAATAGTTGAATTCTGCTCCTTAGTATCCCCTGCCATTGCCTTGTTTTAATCAACACCTGCCCCTTCACTATGAAATTCTGTGGCAAAAATGCATCCCTTAGGCCAGGTGTCCACATGGGCAAAATAGTGCAAAAGCTTTTTTTCATGAAGTTTGACAAGCATTAAACATTTACTCTTCTCTTTCCTCTTCAAACTTCTGAAGCCATTTGATTACAACCTAGGGTAAGGATAAGGAAACTTTTTATCTGTAGTGGCCAGATATTTAATATTTTACATTTTGGAGACCACATAGATCTCTGTCACATATTATTATTTATTTTATAAACTCTTAAAATGTATAAACCATTCTTAGTAAAAATCCTGTACAAAACCACGTTAGTTCTGAGGTGTATTTGTTCCACTCGATATTTTCTGCAGACTGCTGACCTAGGGCATACCTTCTTCAATTCTGTTTTTCCCTCAGCTTCCAAAAGCAAGGTACTGACTTAAAGAATTCCTTATAGGTGGATATAAAACTGGAGTGAATGATAATGTTTCTTCTGTGCTTGGGGCTGCTTATTCTAAGAATCCACCTATCCTTCTCTTTGATTATGCTACTGGAGAAAGGGTGTGAGTGACACTGACTGAAGTTTGGCCAGCCCTTGATGTGTGATATGCATTTCCAGTTAGACTTACTCCAGTGTCACAGGCAAAAATAGAAATCTGAGAAGTATAACTACTTTAAAAATAACTGGATTACAAATATACTAGAAGATAGAGATCGTAGACCACATTGGTCATTTAAAATGATTATCTGAATTTATAATAAGTCATATATATATATATATACTAAAAATTAAAAGAAAAAATTTTAGTGATATGAAACAGAAAAAAAGAACTCAGGAATAACTAGAAATTATAGGGTAAATAGTTGAATAAATACATATACAAAATGAACTAATGAGTTGAGAAACAATATTAAACTTTCCCAAAGTGTGTCCGGAGTTGGTTCCTGCCTGTGGGTTCGTGGTCTCACTGACTTCAAGAATGAAGCTGCAGACCTTCTCGGCGAGTGTTACAGCCCTTAAAGGTGGCACAGACCCAAAGAGTGAGCAGCAGCAAGATTTATTGTGAAGAGTGAAAGAACAAAGTTTCCACAGCGTGGAAGGGGACCCAAGTGGGTTGCCGCTATTGGCCGGGGTGGCCAGCTTGTATTCCTTTATTTGTCCCCTACCATGTTCCATTTCTGTCCTATTAGAATGCCCTTTTTTTCAATCCTTCCTGCGATTGGCTACTTTTAAGATCCCTGATTGATACATTTTACAGACCTCTGATTGGTGCATTTTACAATCCTCTTGCTAGCTCCAGAGTGCTGGTTGGTGCATTTTGACAGAGTGCTGATAGTTGCATTTTACAATCCTCTTGTAAGACAGAAAAGTTCTCCAAGTCCCCACTCGACCCAGGAAGTCCAGCTGGCTTCACCTTTCAAAAGGAAAATAAAAGCGGTAAAAGAAATAGAAGTTATAAACAAATAAACAAAAAGTTAAAAACTAGTAGAATAGTAGAAAACACATAAATAGGTGTTTAATATAGGCCAGGATAAGTTAATTCTTACAAAGACACAAAGACCTGAGAATATTTGCAACAGAATGACTCACCTTGAAAATCTTTTTGGGGGATCTATCCAAATTATAAAATGAACAAATAGAACAGATGTTGCAAGAGACAGGCAAGGTAAAGTTGATTAAATAACTTGATAAATTTTGTAATTGTCAACAAATATAGCTAATAACAAAGAAAAGAGGGAGAAGATTATATTCATAGTTATCTAGAATTTAAATGATACAAAGCAACAACATAATATTCAGGGCACAGGTTATTGACAGATCAAGAATATGAAAACATCAAACAGTATTTTCCAATTAGGAAGAAGGCATAAATGTAGATATCTGTGTTTGTTTCTTTGTATATGTGTGTTAAGAAAGAACAAACATAAAAGACGTTTAATGAGTCAAATTCAAATAAAAAACTAGGATGTTAGAAGTCTATATATTTCAATATTTACAATAATTATAATAAATTGACCATTTAAAAGGCAGTGATTAAGGTTGAGTAATGTTAATAATAATAATAGAAACAACAACAACAGTAATAATAAAACCCAACCCTATGTTCCTTGTAAGGAAACCACATACAGAAGAAATTCACACAGTTGAGAAAAAAAGGATGAAAATCAATATGATATAAAATTACTAACAAAATATCTGGTGTGTCATGTTTATACCATACCACATAGAGATATAAAAAGCATCATTAGGACAATTACATAATTATAAAAATTTAATTCACTAAGTAAAGCAATTCTAATTGTACAGGCATTTAAAGTTTCATAAAATATATATGTAGCAAATATTGATAGAATTACAAGGAAAAAGAAATTTCCCACTTCTATGGTAGAAAATTTTATCACAGCTTTATAAGCATATAATATTTATAAACATAAATCGAAGTCTAAGAGTGACATCAACAAAATGGTTGACCAGGAAACTCCATGATCTTGTTCTTCTGTCAATGCAACACAAAAAAAAACCCCAAAAAACTGACGAAATAGACTTTGTAAGAGCCCTGAAAAACAGACAAATGTCTACAGCAACTAGTGAACATCCAATCAAGAAATTTAAAAAATAATGGTAAGTTTTAAAGTGATTTTGTTCAAACTTGTCCCACCTCCTTCCTGGTGCAGCATGGTCTTGGTCTGCAGGATGTTGCAGCTCAGTTTTAAATTTTCTTTCTCAAACTGGAGGACACAGAACAGATATTATTTCTAATGTTTTAACCTTTCTGGGAGCTGCCTCTTTATCTTATGTTGGAGCTCAGTTCAGGCAACATAGTTGAAAGAGGCAGGCACAGCTCTTATACTGCAGGCAGACAAAGAACCACAGGCACCTGGGGGTAAAAGATTATGAGTAGAGATGTACAATAGACAGTCTAAATCTCTTAGGAAAAGCTGGGTTGAACCTCTTTGGGAAATGAAGATGTTCAAAAGCAGCTGTATACGGCACATAAGGATGAATTTTTAAAAGTCTGATCTGAGACTCCTGATCAGAAAAGACCAGAGAAGACCCTCAGCCTCATATCAGGCTGATTCTAAGGCTCAAAAAATGCTCTGCTGATTAGAGAATGACTTCCTTGGCTCAGAGCCAGTCTTCAAAGACTGAGAGAGGAATCTGCTTTTTTTGAATATTCAATGTTTGACAGCAACAAAAATAACAAGGCATACAGAAAACATCAGAAAAATCTGATCCATTCAAAACAAACAAACAAACAATAAAGTTGAAGAAACTGTCTCTAGAGAAACACAGGCTTGGACTTACTAGCCAAAATTTTAAAGTAACTGTGTTTCCCTTATGCTGAAAGACCTGAAGGGAAAGATGGACATGGAATAATAAAAATCAGAAAAACAATATAAGAGCAAAATGAAAATATCAACAAAACTACAGAAATTATAAAAAGAAAGCCAAATCAAAATTCTTGTATTAAAAAAATTGTATAACTGAATTGAAACATTCACAAAAGGGATTCAACAGTAGATACAAGTAAGCAGAGGGAAGAATCAACAACTTGACTAGTTGTTTGAAATAATTGAGTGTGAGAAGCAAAAAGAAAAAAAAAGAATAAAGAAGGGTAAACATAAACTAAAAAACTTAAGGGACTTCATTAAAAGGACCACTCTACAGATCACATGAGTCTCAGAAGGAAAAGACAGATAAATAAAGGGGTAGAGAGAGTATTTTGAAGAATTAATGGTTGAAAACTCTCTAAATTTGAGAAAATACATGAATCTATAAATCCAAGAAGCTCCCAAGAAGACCGACACTGAACAATCAAATATTCAAAAGCCAAAAGAGAATCTTGAAACCAGCAAGAGAAACTCATGTAACCCACTATATACAAGGGATTCTCAATAAGATTAACAGTGGATATCATAACAGAAACTTTGGAGGGAAAAAGGCAGTAGAATGATATATTTAAAGTGGTGAAAATAGAAAATTGTTAACCAATAGTTTTTATATCCAGCAAAACTGTCTTTTGAAAAATGAGGGAGAAATTAAGACATTCTCAGATGTCTTAGTCCACTTCTGGTGCTATAGCTGACTAGTACAGACTGGGTAATTCTTCAAACAAAAAAGAAAAGTCTATTTGGCTCATGGCTCCAAAGGCTAGGAAGTTTAAGAGCATGGCACCAGCATCTGGTGAGGGTAATGTCCCAGTGCAAGGATGGAAGGCAGAAGTAAACACTTGATATATAGAGAGACGTGAGCTGAATTGATCCTTTTTATCATAAATCAACTCCCACAATAACTAACCTAGTCCTCTGGTAGTGATACTAATCCATTTATGAGGATGGAGCCCTCATAGCCTATCACTTTGTTAAGGCCCCATCACCCAACACCATCACAATGACAATTAAATTTCAACACACACACACACACACACACATATATATATATATGTATATGAATATAGATCCAGATGGTAACACATATAAGTATTTATAGATATGTGTATTTACACAGGTTAGTATGCACAGATATATTTCTTTTCCCCATTAGCTGAGAGGGCCTAAGAGAAGCAATATCTCGGAAGCAAAATACATACTTAATTTCCCAAATCTCGATTTCTAATACCATCCTCCAATAAAAGAACCAGAGTTTCTCTGAGAATTGGCTGATTTTAGGACTGGGGCAGAAAATATACAAAATGAGTCTGGAACATTTTTCAAGGCCAGAAAGTTAAAAAAAAAAGTGCTCAGTTACATAGAGATGGGGGTATATCAAAAAACAGAAGCGCCCATTGAAAGAGTTCCCAATGGCCAATGCTGGAACAATTTGAACAACACAATGAATAAAGTAGTACCAAATTGTAACTTAAAGTATAAATCTTCATGAGTCCAAAAACTAACATAAATAAATGATTGAATAAATTAATAAATGGGTGTGAAGACACAAATTTTTCACACGGACAAAGTACAAATAAAGTATGTAGATAATCCATCCTAAAGGGGGATAACATAACTCCTCATTATTTACGGGTGGGCTCTGCATATCAGCTTCTTTTTAAAGAGTATAGAAAGTGGGAAAAAGAGTGACTCTAAAGTGCAGAAGCCTAACAAACACTATTTCAACCAGGTAATCAATGTGAACATCAAAAGTCATAAACCAGGTTGATAGTATGTTCCTTTGATATGATACATAAAATGGCACATTTTCTCTGTAATCTTCCTTGTAAAACCACATTATTCTGTCTAATGATGAGAAAGACATTAGACAAATTGAGAGACTTTCTATAAAATGCCTGACTAGCACTCCTCAAAACTGTCATGTTTATTAAAAAGAAGAAAAGTTTTGGAAATGGCCATAGTTAAAAAAAGCTTCAGGAATCATAATAACTACATGTAATGTGGTATTCAGGACGGGATTCTGGAACTGAAAAAAAAAAGACATTAGGAGAAACTTAAAAAATCTTAATAAAGTAACAATATATTAATATGGGTTTATTAATTGTTACAAATTTACCATATTGAAATAAGATGAAGCGGCCAGGTGCGGGTGGCTCATGCCTGTTATCCCAGCACTTTGGGAAGCTGAAGTAGAAGGATCATGAGGTCAGGAGGTGGAGACCAGCCTGACCAACAAGGTGAAACCCTGTCTCTACTAAAAATACAAAAATTAGCCGGGCATGGTGGTGCATGCCTGTAATCCCAGCTATTCAGGAGGCTGAGGCAGGAGAATCACTTGAACCTGGGAGGCAGAGGTTGCAATGAGGTGTGATCTCGCCATTGCACTCCAGCCTGGGTGCTGGGTGAAAGAGTGAGACTCCATCTCAAAAAAAAAAAAAAAAAAAAAAATGAAGGCCAGAATGACTGGAGAAAAAGAAACTAGTGTATTTTATAAAAAAGATATAGAGAGATAGATGATGCAGATATAGATACAGGTGATAGATAGAGAGAGAGAGAGAAGCATGGATATATGCAAGGGAATGGTGAAATGACAAATATGAGATTTCAAAAAGTGGTCACTTTCTTTTGGGTAAACTACAAGAACTGTCAAAGAATGTATATGAGTACATAGGAGATATTGTTAGTAATATACATCTCATGTTTGTAGTGTATTCACAGGTTTTTATATTTATAGATCTCTTTCTCTCCCCACACACACACATGTATATTATAGAGAGACAATAGATCGATAGATCAATAGATACAGATAGATCAATGCATCCACACATACATACATATATTCATGCATAAATGTAAAATTTTAAAAGTCACATACACAGCAATGATGAGAAACTCTTATGAACAACGAAGTATCATTATTCCAATTATGTGCAACTTATGTTAATCAGCAAGCAGAATAAGAGACGAGCTGTACATTGGCTCTCCAGGGCAAATGCTGATCAATAAAGAGTATATTTCTTAGGCCTTGCCAGGGATCTATAGTAAAAACAAAATTGAGAAACAGAAAAAAAAGATTGAAAATTAGAATTATAAAAAAATTATGAAATTAATGTGTCTGGAGTTGGTTCCTGCTGGTGGGTTTGTGGTCTCCCTGACTTCAAGAATGAAGCCGCAGACCTTCGCGGTGAGTGTTACAGCTCTTAAAGGTGGCACAGACCCAAAGAGTGAGCAGCAGCAAGATTTATTGTGAAAAACAAAAGAACAAAGTTTCCACAGTGTGTAAGGGGACCCGAGTGGGTTGCCACTGCTGGCCGGGGTGGCCAGTTTTTATTCCCTTATTTGTCCCCTCCCATGTTCCGTTTCTATCCTATCAGAATGCTCTTTTTTCAATCCTCCCTGTGATTGGCTACTTTTAGGATCCTGCTGATTGGTGCATTTTACAGAGCACTGACTGGTGCATTTTACAGAGCACTGATTGGTGTATTTTACAATCCTGTTGCTAGCTACAGAGTGCTGATTGGTGCGTTTTTACAGAGCGCTGATTGGTGCGTTTTTACAGAGCGCTGATTTGTGCATTTTACAATCCTTCTGCTAGCTACAGAGTGCTGATTGGTGTGTTTTACAGAGCACTGATTGCTGCATTTTGCGATTCTCTTGTAAGACAGAAAAGTTCTCCAAGTCCCCACTCGACCCAGGAAGTCCGGCTGGCTTCACCTCTCATTAATAGGCAAGGCTTTGAAGTTTGAGTGGGACTAAAGTAGGTTTTCAAGGTATATATGGGATGTAACCCAGGGAGAAATAGTATAGAATTACTTCTGGGAACTGAATCTCAGGGCTCTTAATAGGTAGAGATGCTTTTAAAAACAGAGGAGAGCTCTTGAATACTACAGATAATTGACTCAAGCATTGCAATAAACTTTTCTCCAGAAAGCTTTTGTTTTTGCTGCTGTCGAGGAAAGTTAAGCCAGATGAACCAAAGAACAGCTAGGTTGTTGTGTACAAACACTGAAACAAATTTCCTGAGATGTAACTTGGAATTTATGAGAATGTTTTAATTACATAAAAAATAGTTTTTCTGTTTTTCCCATTCCTACTCCTCCGTGTTCTTTTGCCTACATTGATAAGTGTTGGGGTTGGGGGTGCAGGAGGGTAAGACTTGATTAGTTCCTGAAAAAGAAAAATGATTCCTTAAGTGCCTATAGTGCCTGTGATGCCACTGACTCAAAGTGAGGTAATGGAGAATGAAAAGGTTGAAATCTGTTAGATAGACCTGAGATTTATCTTGTACTTTAGAACTCAACTCACTGGAAGTCTGCCTTAGAAAGAATTACCTTAGTAAAATCTCGAACTAATTTCATTTTGGGTCTTCTAGAATTGACTCCAAGTCATAATAACTGCCGAAGAGTAAAAGGAAAAGCAATAAACTTTCTAGCAAAAGGCTAGAAAGAATACAAAGATGCAGAAAGACGGCTAATTCTGCATATTGAGTCAAAGCCGTTTTATCTTTGAGTGCTAGGTAATAATAAGAGTTTACTAGATATTTGGCAAATCATTTAGTCTCTAGGGTTTTACACACAGAGTTAGACAAAAATTAGTTCATTTGTCTTACATTTGCCCGCTTTAAAGAATAACGTTTTTTCAGCTTGTCAATTCTACTGCTTTCCCCAGCGTCTGCATAATAAGGCAGACAACTCAACACAGGAGTTGATCTGTGATCAACACATTCAAGTGATCACGTCTCCTTCCTTGGCAGAATACTCCTTGATTCTTGTAACGGGAATGTCTATATTTCAACTTGAGATTGGCAGTTTAATTGCCTAACCTAATACTAACTAGTTTGAAGCATGGATAGTCACTAAACAGAACAGTTTTATTTTCATACAAAACAGATATTCTTCATTAAAATTAAGTATTTTCAGGCACAGCTTGCTAATATAGCTATTAAGGATAATTAAGAAAACTTTCAAGTTTTTCACTTAGGAAATTCCATGTATGAAAGCAAAATAAATTTTCCTTCAACTCCTTCCTCTTGCCATTTTCCCATATCCAGTACTGTACAGACTTTAGAAGAGTTTATTTTATCATAATTTATTAAATATGGTCACAACACAGTACATGCTGGAAGATAGGTGCTTTTAAAAATCCAATTATGCCCCTGACACTTGAGCCAACTAAAGGACATAAGTCAGAGAGCCATCTGATTTTTTCTTTTGACTAAGGAGGGCCTAAATTAATTCCATAGGGATGATTAAATTTAGATTTAGAGGTTGTATAAGCAAACTGAGGTTAGCTTATGAGTTTTATTCTGGGACAAAAGGCCAAGAAGTGCTTATTTTAAACCTGACATATCCTGTTTTTCAGGAGCTCTGAAAAGTTAAAAAATTTGGCAGGAGGTTAGGAAACTACAGCATATACGTCTGACCTAGAGGCACTCTCTGAAATGGCTTTTCTTTCTTTCTTTTTTTTTTTTTTTTCTAGACAGGCTATCAATTTAACAAAGAAGGATTATGGCAGTAAGTTGTCAAATGAGCTGACAAAATCAACTGTCACGTTTTATGGTGGCCCGGGTTTCGAGAATGTACAGATAATTTTTCCTCAAAAGGAGAATGTCTGGTTTTCTTTATTTTTCTGATTTCTTCAAAGGCATAGTCTATCTAAACTGAAAAAAACTCAGAAAAAAAAAATGAAAACGGAAAAGGAATATATTTTTCTTCTATATATTATTTTAAAAATACCTTTTTATCAAGTATCCTGATAACTTTTCTGAGTTAGCCATTGTATTAGTTTCCTATTGCTGTTTAACTACCAAAAATATAATAGCTTGAAAAAAATGAAGTTCTAGTTCAGCAGGTCAGAATTTCAAACACAAATGACTGCATTCTCTGCTCAGGGTCTGACAAGACTGAAATAAATGTGTTGGCAATACCATGCTACCTATTGTATATGAAATGTACTTTGTGTTTCGGGCTTGCTACAGGCATGCTCTTTCCTTGTGCAAATTGTTATTGACAATGTCAGTTATAAGCTTGGAGATACATTGTTAATTCAATAGTATTAATTCCCTGTTGTGCTTGGCCTTTCCCACACCTCTAAAATAACAGTTATACAATTGACTCTAGAATAACCAAGGAAAGTATTACGATTTTCAGTATTCATAGTGGTGAAAATTAATAATGGTGCGTTTGTGGAAGAAAAAATGAAAGTCGTGGCTCATGCCTATAATCCCAGCACTTTGGGAGGCCGAGGCGGGCGGATCACGAGGTCAGGAGATCGAGACCATCCTGGCTAACATGGTGAAACCCTGTCTGTACTAAAAATAAATACAAAAAATTAGCCAGGTGTGGTGGCGGGCTCCATAGTCCCAGCTAGTCGGGAGGTTGAGACAGGAGAATGGCCTGAACCCAAGAGGCAGAGCTTGCAGTGAGTCGAGATAGCACCACTGCACTCCAGCCTGGGTGACAGAGTGAGACTCCATCTCAAAAAAAAAATAAAAAACAAAAATAAGAAAGAGGAGTTGGTCAACAAGAAGCAGTGGTCAGTTAGGAAAACAGCATTTAGGGAGGGGGAAGCAATCATGATGAATGAGTCTGGCATCTCATTGTCTTGAGTGTGGTGATCTGGTGAGTTTTAGTTCTTTGATGCTTTTTGAGAGGCCTAAGGATTGTTTCCTGAGGAAGGATCTCAGATAAGGCAAATGTAAGTTATAAGCTTTAAGGCTAGAAGAGCAAATTTCTATTTTTATTAAAAAAAACTGTCTATAAGATTATGAGATTGGTTTCAAAAGAACTCAGGAAAAATATGTCAGCAGCATCACATATTGTCTTTCTTTCTAACTTTCTTCAACTCCAAACATACCCTTTGAAGGGTGCAAAGTTTTCCAAGGGCATAGCTCTAGGTGAGTTCGTAAGAATATGAATTGTTCAATTGTAGTTTTAATTTTCTACACGGCAGAAAAATATTGTATGGAGCGAATAATTGTGGGGTACTGAGTTTAGAGAGAACGAACTCTTTTATGTGTAATAAGTTATAAATTTAAAACCTCTTGAAAATATAATAGGAGCATATCTGATCTAACCAACTTGTATTATTAATTTAGTTATTTCATATATTTTAAAAAATATTTATTAAGCTAGTGAACTTTCCCTAAAAAACAGACATTCCCCATCATGTCCCAAACACTATACTGTGAATAATCCTAATCCTTCCATAGAATTATTATGTCTTCAACCACTTTCAAATATCTTAAAGGCAGCAACTAGATTCTATTTATCTTTGTATTTCTCCATACTTAATCTTCAAATGACAGAGCCAGTTTTCAGTACTATTCAGTCTGGCTACAGAGCCTGTGCTTTTTTTTTTTTTTTTTTTTGAGATGGAATCTTGCTCTGTCGCCCAGGCTAGAGTCACTGGTGAGACCTCGGCTCACTGCAATCTCCACCTCCTGGGTTCAAGCGATTTTCCTGCCTCAGCCTCCAGAGTAGTTGGGACTACAGGCGCGTGCCACCATGCTCAGCTAATTGTTTTGTATTTTTAGTAGAGACAGGGTTTCACCCTATTGGCCTGGTTGGTCCCGAACTCCTGACCTCGTGATACACCCGCCTCGGCCTCCCAGAGTGCTGGGATTTCAGGCATGAGCCACCACGCCCAGCCCAAACCTGTGCTTTTGAACACTGCTCTATAGTGTCTCATATAACAGTGGTGGGCAATACCTTTAAGCCAATTTCATTTTTCTGTCTTACCATAGGATGTTGAAGCCACTATAACAAAATACCACAACTGGGTGGCTTATAACAACAGAAATTTATTTTTCACAATACTGGAGCCTGGAAAATCCAAGATCATGGTGCTGGCAGATTTGGTTTCTGGTAAAAGCTATTTTCTGGTTCATATTTGATGCCTTCTAACAGTGTCCCTTTATGGTGGAAGGGGACAACGATAGCCTCTTCAGCCTGTTATAAGGACTCTAATCCCATTCATGAGTGTCTCACCCTCATGTCTGAATTACCTCCCCAAAGGCCCCACCTTCTAAACACAACATAAGGGGGTTACTTTTCAACATATAAATTTTGAGGAAACACATTCAGTCCATGGCAATCATATATTTCTTTGTTCTAAAGTTAGTTGTATCAGTTTGGGAACGGCTGGTAGTGCCCTTTCATCTATTTTAAAAGCAACACATGAGTAGACTATGAACCAGTGCATACTAAGACATTATGCTTAACTTCCATTCAGTGTTCTTAAAGGCCTTCAAGACTCTTTTTAATCCTATTTTCAGGATCTTTGCTCATTTCTGAAACAATAATGTGTCGAAGGGCTTATACACAGTCATGTTAATCTGAAGGTGAAGAGCTATACTAGTTAGATACTAATCATAGCTTCAGTTTGAGCAGTAATATTGATACTTTTTAAAAATTTTATTGAGATGGAGTCTCACTCTGTCACCAGGCTGGTGTGCAGTGGCGCGATCTCGGCTCACTGCAACCTCTCCCTACTGGATTCATGTGATTTTCCTGCCTCAGCCTCCAGAGTAGCTGGGACTACAGGCACGTGCCACCATGCCCAGCTAATTTTTGTATTTTTAGTAGAGACGGGTTTTCACCATGTTGGCCAAGATGGTCTCCATCTCTTGACTTTGTGATCCTCCTGTGTCAGCCTCCCAAGATACATTTTTCTTTCTGATTGATCTGAATAAATTATTCTGAAAAGTTTCATCCTGCATATATTGTTTTTAAAATACTATTTTAGAAGAAAAGGTTATTTAAATTTAGAGAGTCACTATGTTTTCCCTTTGGAAATAAGTTCCAGTAGGCTTTCTTGTTATACAAAGTAATTACATAAAATTATTGACAAACTATGTCAATAGAAAGTACTCAATATATTTCCAAAATGGAATAAATCCTGTAAGCCCCAATAATTTCTTTAATGTACTCTATAAAATTTCTTTTGATATCTAGGCTTCATAGAAAGCTAAATTGTGGTTCATAATTTTAACATGCCATAATAAATATCTTCATTAAAATGGAATTTTAAACCTAATTTTAAAACGAGCAAATGTTTTCTTTACTATGTTTGTTCAGCATTTCTAATTATCATCCTTAAAAAGTGTAAAACCCCAAATAACTTTCTGACTAACCTAATACGTATCAATACATGCTCATAGTATTTTTGCGAGATTTATTTTAAAATAGTTGTATATAATCACTTTCTTCATTTTGGTTCCTATGATTTTCTCTTAAACCCAGTCTATTCAGTCTTTTATCCCAACCACTTCACTGACATTTCTTTTGTGAAGATCCCAAATTATCTCAACATTGCCCAATCCAATGGCTAGACTTCAGTCCTCATCCTACCAAATTATTTGCACCATTCAACACATTTCTTACACTTTCTTCATTTGACTTCCAAAACACTATCATCTCTTCATCTTCCTCTTACCTCATTGTTGGTTCTTGTCAGCTTTCTTTGCTGATTTCTGCCTAGCTCCTGAGTGCCAACGTGCTTAGCCTGTGGCCTTTTCTTTTCTACACCCAGTAATATTCTTGAGAATGCAATTTCGCATCATGCATTTATATAACATCTATATGCTGACAATGTTCAAATTTTTGTATCCAACCCACACATCTTTAGTGAACTCTTTTATACTCAAATATTATTTATTTTCTGTTTTTTTTACATGAATATAAGCTCTCTAGAAAAGAGAACCATTTCATTTGCAAATGCATCCCACTCTTCACTAGAAAATTACTTGGCAAATGATAAGGGCTTCATAAAGAGTTAATAAAGGAAAGAAAGAATGAATTAAATATTTTACGTACATATGTGTGTATATATCCATATGGATATATGAGAGATAAATATTTCACAAATATTTGATTAAGTTGAACACATTATTCCTTTGTCATGCTATGCATCAATTTTCCCTTTCAATAATATTTTGCTCTTTTCAACATTTAGATGTCTTTCAAATAATATGAATTGTAGGCGTTTTCTTCTTAATGACTGCTCTGATAACTTAGTACTTATTAGCTCTTGTTATATTAGAAACAAAGATATTCAGAGTTGAATGAGAGGAAAAGCAATATGAGTTTTCTGCTGATCTAGGTAAAAAGGAAAATGAAGCAAAGAAGAGAAAGATGGTTCTTGCAGCAGGGGTTTTCAGAACTTAAGTAGAATCCTGTTTTTGAACACTGAATTTGACTCCCTGCAGTCAGCCTTAAAAATACATACAGAATACAAAATGTATTGAGTTCTTTAAAGTGCAAAAGATGAAGGGTTGTTGTTAGTTGGAGTTCTTCCAGAACACAATCCTGTCTCAAACAGTGTTTGGTTCTTAAGAGAGGTTAACTTCCCAGCACAAATATGACACTAAAGAGCTAATCATCAGTCTTCCTCTTTCCTGACAGAGCTTTGATCCACAGTTGAACCTTTTTCTTTTTCTTTCAAACTACATTCAGTTGTAGTCCCTGGGGAAAAGTCAGATTCCTGTTGATTGTCCTCAGCTCAAGGAGAAGGGTTTCATCTTTATTTATAGCACTTGTGAAGTGCCCACAGGACACAGCAAGGTCAGAGTCCTAGCTAAGACCTAAGACCTATCCATAGTATATAGAAATAAGGCAACCTTTGCATCCTCGAGAAACTTATATTCTAAAGTATGGATTGAGTCAATGGCCTTTGAAATGGTAACTATTTTGAATAAAAAACATCAGAGGAGCAGGATTTGAGAGATGAACACATAGCAATGCATAAAGTAGATTTACTGAATAGAAGTCTAGTACTATAAGTAATTAAATAAAAGCCTTCTCAGCCCAGGTTGTGGCAATTCTGGATTTTTATTTTTCCTGTCTTGCAGAAGAGTGATTCTTAACCTTGGCTGCACATTAACATTACCTGAAAATCTTTTAAAAACCTTGATGTCAGACCTCGCCCTGACAAATCAAAATCTCTTTCTAGGACCAAGATATTAGTAATTTGTTTTAAACTCACTAGGTGATACCAATATGCATCCAAGTTTGAGAATAAGTATTCTTGGCTCATAAAATAGAGTTATGACAGCTATATAAACAAAACAGATATTATACATTTTAGAAAATATGTGACAACGGAATCATTCATGTCAATGGCAAAATAATTATAACAATTCATTAACCAATATCTGTTATATAGACTTTTGGGTTATTATTTTTTTAGCACGTTTATAATTGGTTTTCTGAGAGATACATAAAACCCAGCCATAATGACAAAAGTAAACACTGGTCACCCAACTCAAGATTTGGGAAAACCTTACTAGCCTTGTTATAGAGAGTAATAACTTCCTCTAGGCATGCTAAAAAGTACAAGAATGAGAGGCATGATCTCATTCCTATTCTCAAATATGTCCAGTGATCTTTACTCAATACATAGATAATTTGTACCTGAATCAGAATCTCTGGGATAGAGCCAAGGATCTTTATTTTTAATAATCTCCCAGTTAATTATTATTTACACTGAAGTGTAAAAATCACAGGCTTATTTTTACACTATAATTAACAGTAACAACAAAACCAGATATGGTAAATACAGTAAATTTAAAATCCCTAAGTGAAACCAGCCTGATGTCCCCATAGAAATGATATAATGATTTTTTAAGTAAACATGGAAATTGATACTCCCTAGTCTTAAAACTTGAAACATTTACTTTATCTGAATTCTTTCCTCAGGAAACCAACCCTCAGGCAAGGAACTAAAATTCATCAGATTACCATATCCAGACAATGAGACACCAGACCCCTCATTCATCATGAATGCTTCCTTTCTTGTCCCTAATTTACTTCCCCCACACACATACGTAGTTAGATTCCCTCCACCACTATCTAAACCCCCAATTTTACTTAGCTAAGGAGACAGATTTGAAGTTTGGCTACCATCACTCCTGCTGACGTCACCTGAATTAAAAGCCTTCTTCCTGGCAGTAATTGTTGTCTCAGTGATTCACTTTCTGTGTGGTGAGCAAAAGGACCTATACCAAACCCCTGGCATTTCAGTATACTACGTAAGGTCTGATATAACAGAAATCATACCAAATCAGTCATTTTAGAAGGTCTAAAACAATTTTAAAAGATTGCCTTCAAACAGAATAGTATCACTTAAATTGACCTCTTCCCTAGAAACTTAGCTGGGAAAACACATAACTGCTTTGCAAATATATTTATAGCAATAAAAAACACATAAATAAGCAACAATTTTAATGAAATGAATAATAATGACTCAGAGGTAGAGATGTCTTTAAAAATTTTTGCCATTGGAATAATCGGAAGTAAATAATATAATTTGCAGCAGGGTGGAAAGCATTGTATATGTGTTCCTACTAACTAAGTACGAATCCAGTAAGACTGTATGACACATTTTTAAAAAGCAAATTTTTAAAAACAATCTTTACTTCCTTTAAAAATATCTTGGATGCTTTGTAAAAAATAATGTCTGTTCATCATAAAATTCAAAATGCCAGGAATATTATAAGAAAAAAATAAAAATTACCAGAAACCTTGCCTTTTTTGCAGAAAAGTCCTGAATAGAAGTTTACATAAATAAGAGAATTGGTGTTCTATAAAGTGTTTTTCTTTAGTCAACAATATGATTAGTACATTTTTCAGGAAATAGTACTATATTTAATATTTTTTAATAGCTATATATTATGTAAGCACCAGAATTCCTTTAGTCAGTTTCTATCAAGGGATATTTAGATGATTTTTCAACTTTTCTATATTATTAAAAACATCATAAGATGAATCCTTATGTGTACATAATTTTGAATATGTGCAATTATTCCCTTAGTGTAACCTTTTAAAAGTGAGTTTTTTAATATATCAAAAGGAATAAGCATTTTACATATGGATTCCTATTGTAAACAAATCCTCTTCCCTAATTGCACTATAGCATCTGAGATTGTTCCTTATTTTATGTCCTCAACAAGCCTGGGTTTCGTCAAATTTCTTAAACATTTTCTTTTCATTTTTTTAATGATTATCATACCATTGTTCTAATTTCCTTATTAATGAATAGAAATTATTACTTTTTTTTGGCCTTGGTGAAAAAACGTCCAAGTTTTGGAGCCCATACATAGCCTCTATTCCTGCCACCATAGACACTTGTTTCATAATCTCATTGGATAATTGCCAGGGTGACCAAGGAAAGAGACTAACTGACATTCAGAATAGGTCACCTTGTCCACTTGATTAAAGATCATGTGCCACAGTAGATTTCTTCAGGTGGACAGTTATACGGCTCATAAATATAATCATACTATGTGCCTATTCTGAGAGATCCATCGAATACCTCACCCTCTTGTCATTGCTCTTCAAATCTTATCCTTTTTAGTCCCTGATTAACCTGATTAGCAAATCATTGGTCACTGCCTATAAATCACTGTAGATCCATATCTGAGATAATCTTTCCCTCCATGCAAACTACATATCTAATTTCTGCTCACTGAGAGAATTTCCCTTCAATACTATCTTTCGAGACCACATCTTAATAGGACCATAGTGCAGTGGCCATCAATGGGGCTGGTTTGTCATGAAAATCTACCTATCAACTAGAACTTTACTCTTTTGTTCTTTCATTATTTGGTAAAAGGGAATCTCCCCACAAGGTAGTTGGTATGAGCCATGGGTCAGGTAGCAAAGTAACAGGGGTAGGTACTCTAAGAGTCTGAGCCTCCTACCTGGTTTACTTGTGCATTCAGACCTGCACTAACAAGGTCTCATATATACCATATCAATTGTGTAAAGTTATGCTACTGTACACATCCAATTGTATGGTTTTTAAATCAGGTAAGTCAAAGTCCAGAATGGTCAAAGAGTCACTTACTGTCCAATTTATTTCTGTTTAAGGAGATTGTCTTTGCGGGGGGGGGGGGGGGGGTCCTCAAATATGTGAGCAAACCAATCCCAGAATCTCATTTTGAGAATCTGTTTTATGGGACCACTTTTGGGGTAAATTACTGTATCGGTAAGGATCTCAGAAATCTGACATTACACTTAAACTAGTTTCTCAGAAATTTAATATTAAAACTAATTTCAAAAATATGAATACAGTTTGGAGAAACCAAGAGGGAAGTGATTACCACCATTAAGAATGAAAAGGTAAGTCAAAGAGCATTTACAGAATTAAAAATTTTAAAAAGCCAAAAAACAAAAACAAACTAATGAGAGGTGCGCGAGAGTGAGAAAGAGAGAGAGAGAGACTGCTAGGATTTGTGGTCTCTGATAGAGGAACAAAACTATCTGCCATAAAGCAATGGAGAAGAAAGCAGAGGAATAAGTAACTCTTTTTTCTCCCACCTTCCGATTTTTTTTGTCAGAGCCTTCCATTCATCAAACTCCACTAGAAGCCGGAAGGATGGGAGGTCCACTAAAGTAGTCCATACAGTTAAGCCTTCAAAAATGTGCAGCAAAATAAAGAAGGATACATTGTAGAACTGGAGATTTGATTTAAGTATTGTGTGTGTGTGTATATATCTATATATATGTTATATTATATATGTATTGTATAGCATCATATATATTTTATTATATGTACCATATATTTTATGTATTCTTTTGAATATATAGTTAAATAAATAATATATACTTATATTTATAAAACCAAAATTTTCCCCGTCGTTCATTTTCTAAAATGATCTTGGCTATCATTACATGTTTTTCTTTAAGATGAGCTGTAGAATAATTTGCCATCTTTCAGAAATAAGAAAAATCAAATTTTATTTTTAACTGGTATTACATACACTTTTAGATCAATTCAGAGAAAACTGATATTTTTGTACTATTTAAAACTCCTTTTCAAAGCAAATAATTTATCTCTAGTCAAATTATTTATGTCTTTCAGTAGAGTTTTAGAGCTTCATATAGGAATTTTGTCTTTTGTGTTAAGTTTATTCCTCAGTGTTTTCTGTGGTTTTGCTACAAAAAATAATAAATTTTCTTCCATTATATTTTATATTTCTTATTATTTGTATATAGGTTGCATATTATAGAACATAATATTTATTATTTTGTACATTAATTCTATGATGAGCAAAGACTATGGAATAATGATAATCTCGAATTGTTTTTTAGTTGATTCTTTAGTTTTTCAGGAATATAATAATTTCCTCTGCAAGTACTGGTAATATTGCCCTCTTCTCACCAATATTTATATCTCTCATGTAATTTCCTAGCTATACTGAAACAGCGAGCATATCCAGTAAAAAGTTAAATAGTAGCAAAAATAGCTTGCTCTTTGTATTATTCTTAACTTCAATAAGGTTGAGCATAACATTTCACTTTTAATCATGATTTAAGATATATATCTTGAATCATGTGTTTTGAGATACACATCTTTACTCTTCAGGCTGAGCACAGTGGCTTACACTTATAATCCCAATGCTTTTGGAAGTCAAGGTGGGAAGATCGCTTCAGGCTTGGAGTTCAAGCCCAGCCTGAGCATTATAGCAAGACCCCATTTCTACAAAAACATTACTAAAAAATTAGCTCGGTGAGGTGGTGCATGCCTGCAGTCCTAGCTACTCAGGAGTCAGAGTTAGATCAGGAGTTTGAGGCTGCAGTGAACTATAATTATAACACTATACTTCAGCCTGGGTGACAGAGCAAGACCGTCTCTTTAAAAATATTTTTTAAATATATCTTAATTCTTATTTCATATAACCTTCCATTCTCACAATTAGAGATGGTTGTTGGATTTTACCAAATAACATTTATATTTCTGAAGGTATGTAGAAGACATTTTAAATCTACCCTATTAAATAAAACAAATTATATAAATTTAAATTTCTAAAAAAATTGAATTTTCTAACATGATATAAATCACCCCTACTTTCTATGCTTTATTATATTATTCTTTATCATACTGGTGAACTTTACTAACTTTTTAAAATTTATATCATAAGTATTAGTATGTAAAGTTGAGCTCTCATTTTCTTTTTTATAATCTTCACCAGATTTTGGTAATTTAAATTCATAATTTAATCCATATCAATTTAATATAGTTGAACTTTGTGGAGGATTTTTGCATCTATGTTCATGAGAGATATTGGCCTGTAGGGTTTTTGTTTCATGCTTTCCTTGCCAAGTTTTGGAATCAGTATGATGCTGGCTTTGTAGAATGAGTTAGAAAGGAGTCCCTCCTCCATCGATTGGAATAGT
This sequence comes from Homo sapiens, assembly GCF_000001405.40. NCBI lineage: Eukaryota > Metazoa > Chordata > Mammalia > Primates > Hominidae > Homo > Homo sapiens. The sequence continues at coordinate 90,402,412 of NC_000023.11, forward strand.
TTTATTATGATTCATACCAGCTCTTCTTTGTACATCTGGTAGAATTTGACTGTGAATCCATTTGGTCTGGGGCTTGTTTTAATTGGTGTGTTTTTTATTACTGATGTAATTTTGGAATTTGATATTGATCTGTTTGGGATTTTAATTTCTTCTTTATTAAATCTTGGGAGATTGTTTCCAGAAACTTATCAGTTTTCTCTGGATTTTCAAGATAATGGGCATAGAAGTGTTCATAATTATCTCTGAGGATCTTTTCTATTTCTGTGAAATCAGTCACAATGTCACATTTTTTGTTCCCGATTGTAGTTATTTAGATCTTCTCTTTTTTTCTTTATTAATCTAGCTAGTACTGTATCAATCTTGTTTATTCATTCAAGAAACTAATTTTGTTTTGTTTTTGTTGATTCTTTATATGAATTTTTGGGTCTTAATTTCATTGAGTTTTAATCTGATTTTATTTATTTATTTTCTTCTGTAAGCTTTGGGGTTAGTTTGTTCTTGTTTTTCTAATTCCTCTAAGTGTGATGTTACATCATTAATTTTTAATCTTTCTATCTATCCTAAATCTCCAGTTTCTGAGAAAAGATTATCCCAAATTTATAAAATAAATCATAAAGTGTATAGAATGAGGAAATAGTCCCTTATTTTTTTCTGTAAGACCAGTATAATTTTGATATTCAATGAAGAAAGATGGCACAAGGGAAAGAAAATTGTTATTCAATGTAAATTTACCTCATGAACATAGATACAATAATTACAAAAAATGCAAAAAAACAATTACATAAATACAAACAAACACATATATATGTATGTATATGTTTGTATGAATGTATGTCATAGTCAAATTAGCACTAAGAACCCAAAGGTAATTTAGCATTATAAAAACTTTAAATGTTATTGCTAACAGATTGCAGGAGAAATCTCACAGAATTACCTAAATAGTTTTTTTAAATGCATTGGCTAAATTTAATATTAATTCATGTCAAAATCTTTTGGAAATTTATGAATATAATAAAACATTTAAACCAGACAATATGTTGCCTAATCAAAATGTATAATAAGCATGACTATTAAAGGTGAGATCCTATTTACATCAAGAGAATAATGTGCATATCACTGCATTTACTGAATATCATACTGGTTGTTATGGTCCATCTGGTAATTTTTTTAATGCAATGCATATACAAAAAATATAAAAACTTTCATAATTCACACATGATATTAATGTCTATATTTAGAAAGTACTTCATTATTAAATTATTAGAAATGTTGAGAGTTTGGAAAGTAGGCCAGAAATGGGATCAAACTGCATAACAAAACAAAACCCCTCTAAATGTCTACATAATAATAAGAAAGTTTTAGAAAAATAGAAATTTACAAATATATCATTTAAAACAGAGTCTTCTACGTTTTTCCCACAAGACGGTGGGAAATACCATGCCTCGGCCGCTTGGAAATAGCAAGATAGTGCGTAAAGATCAACTCTGTGAGCTTCAATTCAAAAAGGAAAATGTGAATCCACCAGAGTCATGAAGGACACCCCAGATCAGGAGAGCAGAGGACACTGGCAAACAGCCCCTATGATGGCATCTGGCTGATAAAATTTAGTGCAACCACAGTATGTGAGAGAGGAAGAGAGTCTTTCTCTGTGACTCACATTTACACTGGAGATCTGAGGCAACCCAAGCCGAGGCAGAGTATTTTTTTTTTCTCCCAAGACAAGAGCTAACCTGAGAAGAAGCTTGGAGATGCTGTGAGGAAAAGACATGAATAAAAGCTGCAGGCGTTTTCCCAGACCTGGGACTGAGAGCAGAACACCATTTTTAATCTGGGTGCAACAAAGTCAGCCATTCTTTGGTGATCCGGCAGTGTGGCCATGCAAACATTTCAGTCTCAGGCTGGAAATTTGAGTGCTCGTTTTGGAGATGGGTAAGGGCATTCACAGCTAGAACTGTGGAAAGTGCCTCAGCAGTAAGCAATGGAATTTTGCTCTCCCCCATCTCAAACCTGCGGCAGGAGGAGAGCTGCTATAGCTGCAATTTCTCCTGGGCTGTGAACCTTGCAGCCAAAGCCACCTTGATGACCTAGAACCAATCTATGTGTCCCATAACTGTGTGCCCCAGACTGCTCCCCTGAGATCTTGGTGCAGCGGGCCCCTCTCTGCTCCACTCCCAGGCAGAAATCCAGGCATTTGGAGGATTCACTTCTCTGCAACTGCAGCCTGAGTTGCCCTATCCTACACTGACATAGATCACGGTACAGTGGGGCTCTCTCTGCTCTATGGCCAGGGAGGTATCTAGGCATTTGGAGAACCCACTCACTTGGATCTACAGCCTGACCTGACCTGCAATTTCTGTGCTGAGATCTTTGTGCAAGAAGTCCTTATCTGCTTCAGGCCCAAAAGTATCTCCAGGAATTTTGAGCAATCCCTCATCTAGATCAGCAGACTGAGCCACCTGACCCTTCTAGGACATAGATTGTGGTGCAGTGACACCCTCTTTGCCCCATGCCTGGGCAAATCTCCAAGCATTTGGAACACCAACTTGCCTGGATTAGTGGCCAGAGCCACCTCACCCTTCCTGTTCAGAGATCCTCATGCAGGGGGGCCTTCTCTGCTACATGCCCAGGCAGATCCCCAGGCATTTGGTGTGCTTACTCCTGGATTAGGAGTTTATTCCACTCCTGATTCCTATGCAAAGAATTTGAGGCTGAGCAAATTCCCCAGTTCCAGGCTTAGGCACACCTCTGAGTGTTTGGTGGTCATCCAGCGAATGCTTTCTCAGTGCAGTTGCTTGTGCCTGCCATGAGGGGACCTGTAGATAGACCCTAACCATTGTAACCTCACAACCCTGGGGTTAAGCAGGGAGGTCAGACTCCTGGGCATTTTGCAAAATAGCCCATTGCCTAGGCAACAGACAGTAAACAAGGATCAAGTGTATACCCAGCTGCATGGGTCACAGGCAGCTCTTACCTGTAAGTTTTTACCTACTGGATTGTACGTTGAACTGCACAGCCCAATATAAAACCTGCTGAAAGAAGAGCATAGGGCTGTAGGAGCAAAACCAACAAACCCTATCCAGCATTCCTTACAGTCACACACACTAGGGAGGGGAGCAATAGGAAAAAGAAGGAAAGAAAAGAAACCAATAATATTTAGAGAAAGAAATAAAAAGAAAAAAAATCCTACCTGAATAAAAGTAACTATAGAAATTAGAAATGCCAACATCTCCAGATGAGAAGTAACCAGAGCAAACATTTTGGTACCATAAAAAATCAGAATGTAATGACACCACCAAAGGATCACACTAGCTCTCTAGCAATAATCAGTAAATAAAAGGAAAGCTTGGAAATGGCGGATAAAGAATTCAAAGCATAGATTGCGAGGAAACTCAATGAGATCCAAGACAATGTTGAAAATCAACACAAAAAAGCTTCTAAAGCAATCTGGAAACTGAAGGAAGAGAAAAACATTCAAAAAGAATTTGGGATAATCTTTTCTCAGAAACTGGAGATTTACTTGTAAAGTCATATTTGCACAGTGTTGTATTCACATTATGTAAATATATTTTTTTATTATACTTCAAGTACTGGAATACATGTGCAGCAAATATTTTTAACTGATTATCTCTAACAGACTATTCCAGGTTTTTAATTGATTTCATCATTATTTAATACATGTAAGTATATTTTTCTTCAGGAAGTTTTTAAATCTTAAAAAGAGGGGAGATCATGCAGTGTTTCTCTTTCTGTGTCTTGTTTATTTCACTTAGTAGAGAGTCCTCCAGCTCTTTCTATGTTGTAATAAATGGCAGGATTTTCTTTTTTATAAAGGCTGAATAGTGTGTGTGTGTGTGCGCGCACGTGTGTGTGTGTGTTCATTTGTTGAAGGACATTTAGGCTGTTTTCATATTTTGGCTATTGTGAATAGTGCTGCAATTAAAAGGGGAGTTCAGGGCTCTCTTCATGATTCTGTTTTCCATTATTTGAGTACATACCCAGAATTGGTATTGCTGGATAAAGTGGTATTTCTATTTTTAGTTTTTTGAGGAACTACCATGCTGTTTTCCATTTGGGCTGTATCACTTAGCAGTTTTAAGCTTTACCTTTATGCCTGTCATGTATTTTGAGTTTATTTTTGTGTATGGTGTGAGATAATATACAAGAGCTTCTTTTCTTCACATCCTTGCCAACACTTATCTTTTTTTTTAATAGTCACTCTTATAACAGGTGTGAGATGATATCTCATTGTGGTTTTGATTTGCATTTCCCTGATGATTAGATGAACACCTTTTCATACACATGTTGGCCATGTGAATTTCTGTTTTGTGGATTTTAGTTCATTTATTAATTGGATTATTTGTATTCTTGGTATTGAATTGCAAGTGTGCTTTACATATTTTGGATATTAATCCCTTATCAGATATATAATTTGCAATTTTTTTCTCAATCTGTAAGTTGCCTTTTCATTTTGTTGATGGTTTCCATTGTTGCAAAGATGCTGTTTAGTTTGGTATAATCCCACTTGTCTGTTTGTGTTTTTGTTGCCTGTGTTTTGGTATAATATCCAAAATATTATTGCTAAAAAAAAATGTCAGGAAGGGCTTTTTCCATGTTTTTTTTTGCTAGGATTTTTATGGTTTCAAGTTTTATGTTTAAGTCTTTAATCTACTTAGAGTTTGTTTTTATGTATGTTGTGTAATAGGGGCTCAGTTTCATTGTTTTGCGTATGGATATCTAATTTTCCTAGCACTGTTTGCTAAAAAGACTATCCTTTCTCCATCGTGTGTTCTTAGCACCCTGATGGGAGAACAGTTGGTTCTAAATATGTGGGTTTATTTCAGCATTCTCTCTTTTCTTCTATTGATCTATATATCTGTTTATATGTCAGTACCACATCGTTTTCTTTACTACAGCATTGTAATATAATATGAAGTCAAAAAGCATGATATCTCCTGCTCTGTTTTTGCTCAAGATTGCTTTAGCTATTCAGGGATTTTGTGGTTCTGTTAGAATTTTAGAATTATTTTCTATTTTTGAAAAATATGCCTTTGGAATTCTGATAGAAATTGCATTGAGTGTGTAGATTGCCTTGGTTTGTATGGACATTATGACAGTATTAATACTTCCAATATATTAACATGGAATGTATTTTTATTTATTTCTGTCTTTTAAAAGTTTCCTCATTTATGTTTTATAATATTGAGTGTATAGGTCTTTACCTCTTTAGTTAATTCTTAAGTATCTTAATTTTTTGTTATTTTTATTGTTAATGCAAATAGGATAGGTTTCTTATTTCCCTTTTGGATAGTTTGTTGTTGGTGTATAGAATTGCAACTGATTATTGTATTTTGATTTTGTATTCCATAATTGTATTGAATTCTTTTATTAGTTATAACAGGTTTCCATGGAGTCTTTAGTGTTTTCTACTTATACAGTCATATCATCTGCAAACAAAGATATTTTTACATCCAATCTTTTGCTGTAGATGTTTTTGTTTCTTTTTCCTGCCTGATTGCTCTGGTTAGAACTCCTAATACTATGTTAAATAACAGGGATAAGAGCGGACACCTTTGCCATGTACTGAATCTTAGAAGAAACTATTTCACTTTTTCTCCATGAATTTTGATGTTAACTGTGGGTTTTTCACATATGGCCTTTATTGTGTTGTGGTATATTTCTTTTATACCTATAGTGTTGACTTTTTTTTTGTCATGAAGGGATGTTACGTTTTGTTTAATGCCTTTTGTTAATCTTTTGAGATAATTATGAGGTTTTTGCCTTTTGTTCTACTAATGTCATATATTGAATTGGTTAATGTTTGTATGTTGAAACATCCTTTAATTCTAGGAATAAATCCCTCTTAGTTACAGTATATGATCCCTTTAATGTGCTGCTGAATTTGGTTTGAAAGTATTTTACTTAGGATAAACACATCTATGTTCATCAGAAATATTGTTCTGTAGTTTTATTTTCTGATATCATCCTTGTCTGGCTTTGGAATCAGAGTGATGCAGTCCTCATGAAGTGAGTTTTCAGTGTTCCCTCTTTTATTTTTAGGGGAGAGCTTAAAATAATTCATGTTCATTCTTTCTTAAATGTTTGGTGGAATTCTTTTTTAAAGCCTTATAGTGCTGGCTTTTTTTTGTTAGAAAATGTTTGATTACATATTCTATCTCTTTGTTATCAATTTGTTCAAGCTTTCTACATCTTTTTTGTTCTATCTGGATAGATTATGTGTTTATAGAAATGTATCTATTCAGGTAATCCAGTAGATAACCAAATATATATCTATATATCCATAACTACATTTATATCTATAAATGTCTATGCATGGCTATATATGTCTACATACATCTCTCTTTATATATATATATATATATATATAGTCTGTGTGTATATGTGTAAATACATATATATATGCCTCTATATGTCTCTATATGGCTTTTATACAAACATACACATTTTCTCTCTATATAGATAGGCATAGGTAGGTATACCTATATAAGGATTTATAGATAGAATTCATTCATGTGTGTATGTATATGTATATAATGTTTACACACATACACACATATATATTTACATCTTAAATAGGTCATATTTGTTAATTACATTGTTCAGATCTTCTATCTTATTATTAATGTTCTTATGCTAGATTATTCTGTCAGCAATTGAGTTATGATGAAGTCTCTCATTCTGATTCTGACTTTCTTTTGAAGTCTTAAAATTTATTTTGAAAAGATTTTTATTTGCATATATATTTAATTATAATATATTCCTCATCAATTGACTCATTTAATATCATGTAACAGCTTTCTTTTTTCTAGTGAAACTGTTTGCTTTAAACCCATTTGTCTAATATTATAGGTCTATTCATTTTGTTTTAGTGTTTGCATGATAAATACTTTCCATTGCCTAATTTTGAAATTTCTGTATTCATATATTTACGACATGTCTCTTTTTTAAAGAGTCCATTAGAAAGTTTCTAAAACCCAGACTGGATTTTACACACACACCTGTACACACACACACACACACACACACACACATATCCACCAACACAGTCAAGAATCAGAACACTTACTGCAGGATCCCTCATGTTGCCCTTTTTAATTACAGCCACTTTCCTGCTGCTCCTCACCCCCTATCTTGTTCTTAATGTCTGGCAGGCACTAACTTAATCTTCATTTCTATAAATCAGTTATTTTATGTTTAATGAATGGAATTAAACAATATGTGATTTTGGGGGGTTGGTCTTTCTTCACTGAGTGTAATTCTGTGGAGATTAATCCAATGTGTTTCATGCATAATGAGTCTACTTTTTTATTGCTGAGCAGTATTCTATGGAACAAATGTAATATAATTTGCCTGTGTTACAGTGTACAAGGGTTTCCTTTTCTCCACATCTCTGCCAGCATTTGTTATTGCCTGTCTTTTGAATATATGCCATTTTAAATGAGATGAGATGATATCTCATTGCAGTTTTCATTTGCACTTCTCTGATGATCAGTGATGTTGAAAACCTTTTCATATGCCTGCTTTCCATTTGTATGTCTTCTTTTGAGAATAAATATTCAAATCTTTAACCCATTATTTTAATTTGGTTATTAGGTTTCTACCTATACAGTTGTTTGAGCTTCTTATATTTTCTGGTTATTAGTCACTTATCAGATGGGTAGTTTGCAAATATTTTCTCCCATTCTGTGGGATTTTTTTCACTTTGTTGTTTTCTTTGCTGTGAAGAAGTATTTAACTTGAGGTGATCCTATTTGTTGTGCATTTTTGCTTTGGTTGCCTGTGCTTGTGGGATATTGCTCAAGAAATTTCCACCCAGACTGATGTCCTGGATATATTTCCCAATGTTTTCTTGTAGTAGATTTATAGTGTGAGGTAGCTTTTAGATTTAAGTCTTTAATGTCTTTTGATTTCATTTTTGTATGCTGTGACAGATAGGGGTCTAGTATCATCAGTCTATATATGGATATCCAGTTTCCACAGCACCGTTTATTGAAGAGACTGCCTTTCCCCAGTGTATGTTCTCAGCATCTTTGTCAAGAATGAGTTAACTATAGGTGTGTGAATTTGTTTCTGGGTTCTCTAGTCTGTTCTACTGTTTGGCATGTCTGTTTTACACAAGTATCATGCCGTTTTGGTTACTATACCTCTGTAGTATTATTTGAAGTCAAGTAATGTGATTTCTCCAGTTTTGTTCTTTTGGCTTAGGATAGATTTGTCTATTCTGGGTCTTTTTTGGTTTCCTATAAATTTTAGGGTTTTTAAAAAATATACCTGTGCAGAATGATTTTGGTGTTTTGATAGAGATTGCATTGAATCTGTAGATTGTTTTGGGTAGTAGTGACATTTTTAACAATATTGATTATTCTAATCTATGGACATAGAATATATTTCCATTTTTTGGTGTCCTCTTACATTTCTTTTCTCAGTGAAAACCTTTTTTGTTATAGAGAACTTTCACTTCTTTGGTGAAGTTAACTCCTAGGTATTTCATTTTATGTGTGGTATTGTAAATGGGATTATTATTTTTTAAAATTCTTTCTCAGATTTTCACTTTTGGCATGTAGAAATGTTACTGATTTTTGAATGTTGATTTTGAATCCTACAAATTTATTGAATTTGATTACCAGTTGTAAGGTTTTTGATGGATTATATAGGTGTTTCTAAATATAAGATTATATCATCGGAAAGAAACAATAATTTGACTTCTTCTTTTCCAATTTGAATGTTCTTTCTTTCTTTCTCTTGTCTGATTGGTCTAGCTAGAACTTCGAGTACTATGTTGAAAAGCAGTGGTAAAAGTGGGTATCTTTGTTTGTTGAGTTCCAAATCATAGCTAGAAGGTTTTCAGCTTTTCCCCATTCTGTATGATACTAGCTGTAGATCTGTCTTACATGGCTTTTATAATGCTGAAGTATGTTCCTTCTATAACATGTGTTTTTCAGGGTTTGTATCATGAAGGGGTGTTGAGTTGTATCAAATGATTTTTCATTATCAATTGAAATAATCATATGTCTTTGATCAGTCTGTTGATATCATTTTTATCACATTGACTGATTTCCACATATTGAACCATCTTCACATCCTGAGGATAAATACCACTAGTTAATGATGAATAATCTTTTTATTATATTGTGGAATTCTGTCTGCTAGTACATTGTTGAGGATTTTTGCATCAATAGTGAACAGAGATATTGCCCTGTGGTTTTCTTTTTTAATGTATTGGTTTGTTTGTTTGTTTGTTTGTTTTTGTAGAAGGGTAATACTGGCCTCATCGAATGAGTTTGCAAGGATTCACTCCTCCTCTATTTTTTTGGAAGACTTTGAGTAGGATTGGTATTTGTTGTTCTTTAAATGTCTGATGGAATTCAGTTGTGAAGCCATTAGGTCCCAGGCTTTACTTTACTAGGAAACTTTTTATTATGGCTATGATCCCATTACTTGTTATTTATTGGTTCAAGTTTTGGATTTCTTCCTGGTTCAATTTTGATAGGTTGTATGTGTTTAGGAATTTTTCCATTTCATCTATATTTTCCAATTTATTGGCACTTAGTTGCTCATAGTAGCCACTAATGATGCTTTGGGTTTCTGCAGCATCAGTTGTAATGTCTCCTTTTTTCAATTCCGATTTTGTTTATTTTGATCTTCTCTGCTTTATTCTCAGTCTGTCTAAAGGCTTGTAAATTATATTTAACTTTTCAAAAAACCAACTTTTTGTTTCACTCATCTTTTCTACTGTTTTCATCCTTTTCATTTATTTCTGCTCTAATCCTTATTATTTCTTTTCTTCTCTTCTTACTTTTTTAGTCCTTTATGATGCATCATTAGATTGTTTATTTGACTTTTTTTTTCATTTTTGATGTAGGCACTTGTAGCTATAAACTTACCTCTGAGTACTACTTTTGCTGTATTCCATAGGTTTTGGTATGTTGTATTTGCATTATTATTCATTTCAAGAAATTATTCCATTTTCTTCTTAATTTCTTCATCAACCCACTGGCCCTTCGGGAGCATATTATTTAATTTCCATGTATTTGTATAGTTTCCAAAATTCCTCTTGTTATTGAGTTCTTGTTTTTTCTGTTGTGGTCACAGAAATACTTGATATTCTTTTTTTTGTTGGTGTTTTAAGACTTGTTTTGTAACATAACATATGGTTTATTCTTGAGAATGGTCCATGTGCTGAGTAAAATAATATGTTTTCAGCAGCTTTTCGATTAAATATTCTGTAAATATCTATTAGGTCCATTTGCTCCATAGTGCAGACTGAGTTTGATGTTTCTTTATTGATTTTCTGTGTGAAAGATCTGTCTAATACTGAAAGTAGGATGTTGAAGTCTCTAGCTATTATTGTATTGGGGCTTCTCTCTCTCTTTAGCGCTAATATAATTTTTATATAGTGGGTGTTCCAATGTTGGTTACATATATATTTTAAATTGTTATATCATCTTGTTGAATTGATTCCTTTATTATTATATAATGACCTTGTCTCTTTTTATAATTTCTGTCTTGAAATCCATTTTGTCTGATGTAAGTGTAGCAACTCCTGCTGTTTTGTGGTTTTCACTGGCTTGGAAGGTTTTTCCATCTTTTTATTTTTAGCCTATGCATGTTTTTATATGGGAAGTATGTTTCTTGTAGGCAACAGATCAATGGGTCTTGTTCTTTCATCCATTCAGCTACTCTATGACTTTTGTTAGGATAGTTTAGTCCATTTCCATTCAGTTATTATTAACAAGTAAAGACTTCAGCCATGTTGTTATTTGTTTTCTTGTTGTTTTATGTAATTGTTTGTACCTTCCTTACTTTTTTCCTATATTACATTCGTGAAGATAATCATCTCAATATGATTTAGTTTCCTGCTATTAATTGTCTGTGTATCTTCTGTATGTTTTCTGGTTTGTGGTTACCATGAAGCTCGCAAATGCTATCTTAAAACTCATTATTTTCAGTTGATAACAACTTAACACAATTTGCTTAAACAAACGAGTATAAAAAACTAAATAAACTCAATGATTGAAATTCATCTCCTTGCTTTTTAACTTTTTATTTATTATTTATATTTCATTGCACTGTCTATGTCTTGAAAAGTTGTTGTAGTTATTATTTTTGATTGGTTCATCCTTTAATCTTTTTACTTAGAATAAGAGTGGTTTTCATACCATATTTACAATGTTAGAATATTCTGTGTTTTTTTCATGTACTTAATATTACCTGTGATTTTTGTACCTTCAGGTGATTATGTTTTGCTCATTAACATTCTTTTCTTTCTGATTAATGTACTGCCATTAGCATTTCTTGTAGGACAGGTCTGGTGATAATGAAATACCTCAGCTTTGATTTTTCTGGGAAAGTCTTCATTTCTCCTTCATGTTCGAATGCTATTTCCTCAATATATATTATTCTAGGGTAAAAGTTTTCCTTTTTCTTCAGCATTTTAAATATATCATGCCACACTCTCCTGGCACTCTCTCCTGGTGAGGTAAGTTTTCCACTGAAAAGTCTGCTGCCAGTCATTTTGGAGTTTTATTGTGTGTTATTTGTTTTTTTTTTCTCTTACTGCTTTTAGGATCCCTTCTTCATCCTTGACCTTTGAGAGTTTGATTATTAAATGCCTTGAGGTAGTATTCTTTGGGTTAAATCTGCTTGGTGTTCTACAACCTTCTTGTACTTGGATATTGATATCTTCCTCTAGGCTTGGGAGTTCTCTGTTATTATCCCTTTGAATAAACCACTATTCTTTCTCTCCCTCCTCTTTAAGGCCAACTACTCTTAGATGTTTTTGAGGCCATTTTCTAGATTCTGTAGGCATGCTTTGTTGTTTTTTTTTTCTTTTGTCTCCTATGACTGTGTATTTTCAAGTAGCCTGTCTCTAAGCTCATTAATTTTTTCTTCTGCTTGATCAATTCTGCTCTTAAAAGACGTTGATGAATTTTTCAGTATGCCAGTTGCATGTTTTTAGCTCCAGAATTTCTGCTTTATTCTATTTACTTATTTCAATCTCTTTGTTAATTTATCTGAGAGGATTCTGAATTCCTTGTCTGTGCTATCTTGAATTACTTTGAATTTCCTCAAATCAATTATTTTAAACTTTTTTGTCTGAAAAGTCATATATCTCTATTTCTCCAGCATTGGTTCTTGACGCCTTATTTAGTTCATTTGGTGAGGTCATGTTTTCCTGGATCATCTTGATATTTGTGGATGTTTGTCTGTGTCTGGGTGTTGAAGAGTTAGGTATTTATTGCAGTCCTCACTGTCTTCATTTGTTTGTACCTGTTCTTCTTGGAAGGGTTTTCCAGATATTCAAAAGGATGTGTGTTTTGATAACACCATATATGCTTTTGGGAATGCCTCAAGCCCAGTTATGTTATTGTTTTTGCAGACTCCTAGAGGTACCACCTCAATCATCTTGTAAAAGATCCAGAGAAATTCTCTCGATTACCAGGCAGAGACTCTTGTTCTCTTCCCTTACTTTTTCACAAAGAAATTGAGTATCTTATGCTGTTTTGAGCCACCTAAATCTGGGAGTGAAGTAACACAAGTACCCCTGTGGCCACCATCACTAGGACTGCACTGAGTCAGACATGAAGCCAGCATAACACTAGGTCTTCCCCAAGACCTGCTGTAACCACTTTCCTGGCTACTAACTATGTTAGCTTAAGGCCTGTTTACTAAAGGCCTTGACAATCAGCAGGTGGCAAAGCCAGCCAGGCCTGTGTCCTTCCACTCATGGCAGTGAGTTACCCCAGCACCTAATGGGCCCAGAGGTGCTTTCCAGAAGTGAGGGATTAGAGTAAAAACTTAGACGTCTACCTGGTATTCTATTGTATTGCTGCTGACCTGGCACTCACACCACAAGATGCGGTCTTTCTTATTCTTCCTTCCTCTTTCCAAAGGCAGAGCAGCCCCATCTCATGGCCAACACCACTACAAGCCCATGGGGAGTACTGCCAGACTACTGCTGATGTTTCCGTAAGGCCCAAGGTCTCTTAAGTCAGCTTGTGATGAATGCTGTCTGGCCTGGGACTCACTGTTCAGAGCAGTGAGCTCCCCTCTTTCCCAGAGCATGTCCAGAAATGTTATCCAAGAATCATGTTCTGGAATTGGAAACCCCAAGATTCTACTTGGTGCTCTCCCACACTATGGCTGAGATGGTACCTTGTGTCAGCAAGTCTCAGAGTTTCACTTGAGGCCTTCATTGTAGTACGTGGATATCACTCTTGGTTATTCAGAGCTCAAGGGCTCTTCAGTAAGCAGGTAATAAATGGTTCCAAGACTAGGTCTTTTTCTTCAAGGCAGTAGGTTTGCTTGTGGCCTAGGCTGTGTCTAGAAATGTCTGGGATCCAGGGCCTGGAATGGGGGGCCTCAAAACTGTGATCAGTACCCTATCCTGCTGTGGCTGAGCTCATATCTAAGATGCAAGACAAAGTCCTCCCCACTATTTTCTCTACTCTCCTCAGTTGAAAAGAAAAGGCATCTTTTGGAGCCACAAGTTGTACAGCCTGGGGCTAGGTGTGGGGTGATGCCAGCACTCCCACATCCATGTTAGCTGGTGTCTCAGTAGATCATGTCACCCCCAGTTCATTGTCTCTGGGCCCAGTTCAGCCCTGGGACTCACCTAAGAGTTACAGTCCTTATGGTCTAGACTGTCTTTCAAATTTACTTAGAGACACAGAGCACAGCCTGGGGCTGTGAGGTTTGCAGGAACTCAAGTTCCATCCCCTGGGATCCTGGGATCTACAATTCCCCTCTAGCAAGGACTGGTTTATAAGCGCCCACTATGGTTTATATGCTGACACCATGGGTGAGTGTCAGCTGAGTTTGGCCTAATTTTCCTTTCTACTCCCACCACTGGTTTATATGCTGACACCATGGGTGAGTGCCATCTGAGTTTGGCCTAGTTTTCCTTTCTGCTCTAACAGGGCAGCACTGAGTTCAGTGCCTCATAGTTTGCTGTGTTCTCCATCCCTCCAGACACAGAAATGCTCTCTGCACCATGCTGCTGCCAGTGGGTGTGGCAGGGGTGGCATCAGCAATTCAATACTTTTTTTTCCTCCTCAGTGCATCATGTAACAATACAAAGTTAAAAGCAGGTACTGAGAGTGCTCACCTGTGGTGCTTTGCTCAAGTAAATAGTTATTAAATTGGTGTCTTTGCAGGAGGGTGTCGGGGGTGGATGATGGATGGAGCTTTATATTCTTTCATCTTGTTCTGCCTCTTTTATATGCAGTCTTTCAACTTCTGATACTTGTTATTTTCCCTCTGTATATGCTATCTTAACTAGCTACAGTGAACTTTTCTTGTAATCTTTCTCTAACGCTACTTATTCCATTGTCAACTAAATTTCATTTTTGTCTGAAAACCTTTGTAGATGACTTAGAGATTCTGTTTTCTACTATTTTATCTTATATTACCATGTATTTTTATCTTTATAACAATTACCTAGTTTCCTTGTCCACTTGTGTATTTATTATTTTTTGAGTGATAACTATTTTCCTTATCAGATTGTATGTTCCATGAAGAAATGGAATGTGTCTGCTTCTTACTAGTGCAGCCTCAATGACAGAAGATTGTGTGGCTCACAAAAAGTATGGGTGGGTGTACCAATGTGTGAATTTATGTGTATCTTTGTGGTATCACTAAAGGTCTTAAGGAAATCAGGATTTTCCCAGGTTTTTTAGTCTCACTAAGGATTTTATTTTTCTCTTAATCTAGCAGTCATTCTTCACTGATTAAATTCCATTTTCTTCTTTCTCCCCCTTCACACCATCCATCCCATTTCATAAGTAACTTAGAACGCTTCACTTCAGATACAATGATAAATTATTAGATTATATTTCCTAGCATTGAAATTTTTGGAAAGCTCTTTATATTATAAACTATTTTCTGTTATGTGTTTTAGTCACAATTAAATCTAGCTGTGAATAAATTGAAAATATGTCCTCTCTTACCTATAAAAAGCAAAGCTGTAAAATGATTCAAGTATATACCATTTAAAAAAATCCATTTATCAAAACCAACACTTGTCTGTCAATAATAACCAATTTCTGTATTGTGTTTAAAATGTATCCCTCTATAGATTCAAAAAATATTTAAAATTTTGTTTCGCCATAATTATTTATCAGATTGAATGCATATATGTTTTCAGAAAGCATGCAAGACTAAAAAGACATTTCTGGATTAGCTAGAAATGTAGTAGACTAACTGCTTTTTATTATTTTGATTTAGCATTTCTGTGCTTCTCATTATTAACAAGTTTATGTTTGAGAAATATCAGAATATTATATGTAATGATTGACTCAATTATGGACCTTGATATAAATAATTTTGCCCTCTATAAGTAAATTAATATTTTTAATAAATATTAAAAGGGTGCTTTTTTAAAGAAAATATACATGAAATTGACACAGGGCCAGCCTTTAAGTGAGTTACAATTATAAATACAAACACCTCATTCTAGTATTCCATTATAAAGTTTAAATCAATAGCTTTAGTAGAGGTAATTAGAAAGGGAAGCAGGATGGGCGTGGTGGCTCACACCTGTAATCCCAACACTTTGGGAGGCTGAGGAAGGCAGATCATGAGGTCAGGAGATCGAGACCATCCTGGCTAACACGGTGAAACTCTGTCTCTACTAAAAATACAAAAAAAAAAAATTAGCCAGGTGTGGTTGTGGGCGCCTGTAGTCCCAGCTACTTGGGAGGCTAAGGCAGGAGAATGGCATGAACCTGGGAGGCGGAGCTTGCAGTGAGCTGAGATTGCGCCACTGCACTCCAGCCTGGGCAACAGACAACACAGTGAGACTCCATCTAAAAAAAAAAAAAAAAAAGGAAAGCAAACAAACAAACACCAAACTTGTCATGGTGCTTCTTTAAAGGACAGAATCAGGCAGGACATGGTGGCTCATGCCTGTGATTGCAGCACTTTGGGAGGCCAAGGTGGGTGGATTACTTGAGGTCAGGAGTTCGAGACCAGCCTGACCAATGTGGTAAAACCCCGTCTCTAGGAAAAATACAAAAATTAGCCGGGTGTGGTGGCAGGCACCTGTAATCCCAGCTACTCAGGAGAAGGCTGAGGCACAAGAATCACTTGAGCCCGGGAGTCAGAGCTTGCAATGAGCCAAGATCATGCCACTGCACTCCAGCCTGGGCAACAGAGTGAGATTCTGTCTCAAAAATAACTAAATAAATAAATAGGAAAGAATCAAGTCCCCATTTTAGTAAAGATCGCCCTCTCTTGGACCAAGTCTACTTCAAATAGCAACCCTCCAAGTCTGCATAAGATTTATGTCTAGGCCAGGTGCAGTGGCTCATGCCTATAATGCCAGCACATTGGGAGGCCAAAGTGGAAAGATCACTTGAGTTCAGGAGTTGAAAACCTGCCTGGGCAACATAACAAGATCTCATCCCTACTAAAAGTCAAAAAAAGAAAATCAGCTGGACATGGTGGCATGCACCTGTAGTCCCAGCTAGTTGGGAGGCTGAGAAGGGGAAATTGTTTGAGTCCAGGAGATCAAGGCTGCAGTGAGCTCTGATTGAGCCACTGCAATTCAGGCTGGGTAACAGAGTAAGCTCCTGTCTCAAAAAAAAGAGAAGATTTCTACGTTAGACATTGTTGCCTACAAACCATTGCACCCAGAATCGGAGCAAAGGGTAGTAATTTCAGTTACCAAAGAGACTTAAAACCAGGGAGAGAAAACTGGATTAGCCAACATTAGTAGAATGCTCCTAAATACACATTCTATATGCATTTTGTACTATTCTAATTTAGCAATTTCTTAAATGACAAGTGTCAATACTTTATTTTTCACAGCCCTACCACAGTGATCATACAAATTTCTTTCTATGCTCTTCCTGTTATCACAACATAATATTAAACCCCCGTAGGTACTAAAACAAAGACTTACTTTTTAAAATGTATTTTAAATTGCTTAATATTTCTATTTTAATAACTTTAGGAGTATAAGTGGTTTTTATTAACACGGATAAATTGTACAATGGTGAAGTCTGGGCTTTTAGTATACCCATCACCCAAATAATGTACGTTATACACAATAAGTAATTTCTCATTCCTCACTCCCTCTCCCATTTCTTCCCTTTTTGAGTCTCCAATGTCCATTATGCCACTCTGTATACCTTTGGATACCCATAGCTTAGCTATAACTTATAAGTGAGAACATGCAGTATTTGATTTTCTGTTTGTGAGTTACTTTGTTACTGGCAGTAAATCCATATGGGTCTTCAGCTACCTCAATTCTTCACTCTTCAGAAAAGAGAATTTGACTGGCATAAGGCAGAAGAGAACAAGGCCAGGTGTAGAGCAGAAATAAAAGTTTATTAAAAAGCTCTGTAGCAGAAACAAAAGGAAGAAAACTACATTTGGAAGTAGACCAAGTGGGTTACTTGAAAGACAAGTGTGCAATTTGAACTTTTGACTTGGGGTTTATATGTTGGCATACTTCTGGGTCTTGTGTCTCTTCTACCCTGATATTTTCTTAGGGGTGGACTCTCTGCATGCACAGTGGCCAGCCAGCACTGGGGAGGTGAGAATATGAAGAGTGTTTACTGGAGTTGTGCACATGCTCACTTGAGGTGCTCTTCCCTTACCAGCCAAATGTCACTAGGAGGTGTAAACCCTGAATATCTGAGACAGATCTCAGTAAATTGAAAAAGTTTATTTTGCCAAGGTTGAGGATGCACTTCCATGACACAGCCTCAGGAGGTCCTAATGACATGTGCCCAAGGTGGTTGGAGCACAGCTGGGTTTTATACATTTTAGAAAGACATGAGACATCAATCAATATATGTAAGATGTACATTGGTCCCTCCAGAAATGTGGGAGAGCTTGAAACCTATGAGAACGTGACCTTCTTTACTTACCACAGTCAGAAATCCTGTACAGGGACTGTGGAGAAAAGGTATGAGGCCAGTTTTTCCAAAAGGCTTTTATTGGCTCTATAAGTCAAGTTTGATTCCTTAAAGGAAATCATATGAGTCTAGTCAAAGTCTTGATAAAATAACCAGTTTATCCAATTGTGTCCTGTTGCAAAATAAAACATTCTTAGTGCACTTATGCAAATAACTATTTGCCATACACTAAGAACACTCACAAATAGTTTTCAAATCCTGGAGAAATGAGGTAGAGAGAAACAAATATGCTTCAAATTTTGTTGATAGGAGTATAGTTTCTCAATTGCTACAACCCGTAAATAGCTCAAAAAAACTTGCCTTGACTGCGAAAAGCAATAAAAGGGTCAACATTGTTTTCAGTAAAAAAGTCAAAAGATTACTTTAGTCTTCTATTAGTTTAGTCCATGCAGTTCACTTCTGTTCTGCATGATATTCATAAACATTCCAGCTGTCTATGAGAGTACTGAAAGTTTTTTCTCTATTCTAATGTCACAATCACCAAAGTTATCAGAACCCTACATTCAAGAATACCTGTTAGTTTTATAGCTGATTATAAAACCACCTTCTAAAGAGAACCAAAACAAAACAACATTTGTTTGTGGATGACAAAAAGCTTTAGGGTAGCTATAGTCAAAGATACAATTAAGGAGGAAATTTGTTATCTCTCTGGCAAACAATAATTTAACATAGCAATTATAATTATTTCTGATAATGTACACTAAGTCATATTATAATTATAGGAGCTTCCCAAATGTTGGAACACATACCAATAACATATTTACACAAATACAGCCCAGAAAAGACTAAACATCATTTCATATTTTACAGTGCTTCCTGTATGATTTTTATACCAAACAAGCCAAATATGTCATTTTAAAACTTTAGGGAAAGTAATATCTTAAAGGAATAGTTAGGTCAGAAAAAAAAAAAACGCAGTTTACAAATTCATTTTGGAAAATTTGTCAAATATCAAAGATTTAAAACACTTGATATCACAAAATAGGATCCCAGGTCATTGTAAAACAAGTCATCCCTTTAACAAAAGTAATAACTCAAGGATTTCAAAAAAAGGCAAAACTTCATTCTTTAAGAGAGGATACTTAATTTTCCAAACAATAAGCCCTAATAAAGCAGCATAAAGCCAATTAAACTTGTTTTTCAAAATTTTATAAACAATCTTTAAATTCTAATCACCTTGACCATAAGATATAATTTCCATAATCCTTTCATAACCTTTATTAAAAAGTTGGTTAATGCTTCAAGAAAAGCTTGTTAATCTGACATAAAGGCCAATATGCTGGTCATGCATCAGTATGCCTTTGGTATTAATGGTTAATTTATAGAGAAATTGAACTTATTTTATCTCTCAAAATTGTGTCTTACAATCTCACATGCCCTTCTCTTCCGCAGTAGTCCCTGGGCCTTGAGGAGTTGAATAGCTTTAATTTCTGGCCCTGTGTCTCAGAAATGCAGTTTAGTTTGATTAGTGCCTTTGACTGGGCCTGAAGATGAGGTTTTAATTGCTGTCAGTGTTTAAGATTTAGCAGGACTTGGTGTCCTTTTCAGATCAAGGAGTCAAAGGCCTGTAACTCAATGTCATAAGGACTTTAAAAGCACATACAGAAAGATACACAGATGTATAACCTTAATTAAGAAAAAAATATTTTAATCTCAGTTTTTTCTTCTAAGCAAACCAAAACTTAACAATAATAGCATAGGAATTATTTCAAAAAATTTAAAATCTGTTAGGCCAGTTACCAAAAAGCAAAATAAAAGACCTTTGATGGCTGGCAAGATGGCTGAATAGGAAGAGCTCCACTCTGCAGCTCCCAGGGAGATCAATGCAGAAGGTGGGTGATTTCTGCATTTCCAACTGAGGTACCATGCTCAACTCATTGGGACTGGTTAGACAGTGAGTACAGTCCCTGGATGGTGAGCTGAAGCAAGGGGGGACATTGCCTCACCTGGGAAGCACAAGGGGCCAGGGAACTCCCTCCCCTAGCCAAGGGAAGCCATGAGGGACTGTGCCATGAGGAACAGTGCAATCTGGCCCAGATACTACACTTTTTCCCATGGTCTTCACAACCCACAGACCAGGAGATTCCCTCGGGTGCCTACACCACCAATAACCTGGGTTTTAAGCACAAAACTGGGTGGCTGTTTGGGTAGACAGTGAGCTAGCTGCAGGAGTTTTTTTTTTTCACACACCAGAGGCATGTGGAACACCAGCGAGTCAGAACTGTTCACTCCTCTGGAAAGGGGGATGAAGCCAGGGAGCCAAGTGGTCTAGCTCAGTGGATCCCACCCCTACAGAGCCCAGCAAGCTAATATCCACTGGCTTGAGATTCTCGCTGCCAGCACAGCAGTCCAAAATTGACCTGGGATGCTCAAGCTTGGTGCGGGCAGGGGCGTGCACCATTACTGAGGCTTGAGTAGGTGGTTTTCCCCTCACAGTGTAAACAAAGCTGCCGGGAAATTTGAACTAGACAGAGCCCACCGCAGCTCGGCAAAGCCGCTGTAGCCAGACTGCCTCTCTAGATTCTTCCTCTCTGGGCAGGTCATCTCTGAAAGAAAGGCAGCAGCTCCTGTCAAGGGCTTATAGATAAAACACCCTTCTCCCTGGGAAAGAGCACCTGGGGGAAGAGGTGGCTGTGGGTGCAACTTCAGTGGACTTAAACATTTCTGCCTGCTGGCTCTGAAAAGAGCAGCAGATCTCCCAGCACAGCACTCGAATTCTGCTAAGGGACAGACTGCTTCTTCAAGTGGGTCCCTGACACTCATGTCTCCTGACTGGGAGACACCTCCCAGCAGGCGTCAACAGACATCTCGTACGGGACAGCTCCAGCTGGCATCTGGTGGGTGCCTCTCTGAGATGAAGCTTCCAGAGGAAGGAACAGACAGCAATCTTTGCTATTCTGCAGCCTCTGCTGGTGATACCCAGGCAAACAGGGTCTAAAGTAGACCTCCAGCAAATGCCAGCAGACCTGCAGCAGAGGGGCCTGACTGTTAGAAGGAAAACTAACACACAGAAAGGAATAGCATCGACATCAACAAAAAGATGTCCAAACAATGATCTCATCTGAAAGTCACCAACATCAAAGACCAACGGCAGATAAATCCATGAAGATGAGGAAAACCCAGGGGAAAAAAAGGCTGAAAATTCAACAAAAAGAATGCCTCTTCTCCTCCTACAAAGGATCAAAACTCCTTGCCAGCAAGAGAAAAAAACTGGACAGAGAATGAGTTTTATGATTTGACAGAAGTAGGCTTCAGAAGGTGGGTAATAACAAACTCCTCCAAGCTAAAAGAGCATGTTCTAACCCAATGCAAGGAAGTTAAGAACCTTGAAGAAAAGGTTAGAGGAATTACTAACTAGAATAACCAGTTTAGAGAAGAAGATAAATGACCTGATGGAGTTGAAAAACAGCATGAGAACTTCGTGAAGCATACACAAGTATCAATAGCCAATCGATCAAGCAAAAGAAAGGATATCAGAGACTGACAATCTACTTAATGAAATAAAGCATGAAGACAAGATGACAGAAAAAGAAAGAAAAGGAATGAACAAAGCCTCCAAGAAATACGGGACTATGTGAAAAGACCAAATCTGCGTTTGATTGGTGTACCTGAAAGTGACGGGGAAAACGGAGCCAAGTTGGAAAACTCTCTTCAGGATATTACCCAGGAGAACTTCCCCAACCTAGCAAGACAGGCCAACATTCAAATTCAGGAAATACAGAGAACACCACAAAGATACTCCTTGAGAAGAGCAACCCCAAGACACATAATTGTCAGATTCACCAAGGTTGAAATGAAGGAAAAATGTTAAGGGCAGCCAGAGAAAGTTCGGGTTACTCACAAGGGGAAGTCCATCAGATTAGCAGCAGATCTCTCTGCAGAAACCGTACAAGCCAGAAGACAGTGGGGGGGGATATTCAACATTCTTAAAGACAAGAATCTTCAACCCAGAATTTTGTATCCAGCCAAACTAAGCTTTATAAGCGAAGGAGAAATAAAATCCTTACAGACAAGCAAATGCTGAAAGATTTTGTCACCACCAAGCCTGCCTTACAAGAGCTCCTGAAGGAAGCACTAAACATGGAAAGGAAAAACCAGTATCAGCCACTGCAAAAACATAGCAAATTGTAAAGACCATTGACACTGTGAAGAAACTGCATCAACTAACAGGCAAAATAACAAGCTAGCATCATAATGACAGGATCAAATTCACACATAACAATATTAACCTTAAATGTAAATGGGCTAAATGCCCCAATTAAAAGACACAGACTGGCAAATTGGATAAAGAGTCAAGGCCCATCAGTGTGCTGTATTCAGGAGACCCATCTCACGTGCAAAGACACACATAGGCTCAAAATAAGAGATAGAGGAATATTTACGAAGCAAATGGAAGGGGAAAAAAAAGCAGAGGTTGCAATCCTAGTCTCTGATAAAACAGACGTTAAACCAACAAAGATCAAAAAAGACAAAGAAGGGCATTACATAATGGTAAAGGGACCAATGCAACAAGAAGAGCTCACTATCCTAAATATATATGCACCCAATACAGGAGCACCCAGACTCATAAAACAAGTTCTTAGAAACTTACAAAGAGACTTAGACCCCCACACAATAATAGTGGGAGACTTTAACACCCCACTGTCAATATTAGACAGAACAACGAGACAGAAAATTAACAAGAATATTCAGGAATTGAACTGAACTCTGGACCAAACAGACCTAATAGACATCTACAGAACTCTCCACTTCAAATCAACAGAATATACATTCTTCTCAGTACCACATCACACTTATTCTAAAATTGAACACATAATTGGAAGTAAAACACCCCTCAGCAAATGCAAAAGAATGGAAATGATAACAAACAGTCTCCCAGGCCACAGTGCAATCAAATTAGAACTCAGGATTAAGAAACTCATTCAAAACCGTACAACTACATGGAAACTGATCAGCCTGCTCCTGAATGGCTACTGGGTAAATAATGAAATTAAGGCAGAAAAAAAGATGTTATTTGAAACCAATAAGAACAAAGACATAATGTATCAGAATCTCTGGGACATATTTAAAGCAGTGTTTAGAGGGAAATTTATAGCACTGAAAGTCCACAGGAGAAAGCAGGAAAGATCTAAAATCGACACCCTAACATCACAATTAAAACAACTAGAGAAGCAAGAGCAAACAAATTCAAAACCTACCAGAAGACAAGAAATAAATAAGATCAGAGCAGAACTGAAGGAGACAGAGATATGAAAAACCTTTCCAAAAATCAATGCATCCAGAAGCTGGCTTTTTGAAAAGATTAACAAAATAGATAGACCACTAACCAGACTAATTAAAAAAAGAAGAGAGAGAAGAATCAAATAGACACAATAATAAATGACAAAGGGGATATCACTACCAATCCCACAGAAATACAAACTACCATCAGAGAATACTAGAAACACTTCTATGCAAGTAAACTGGAAAATCTAGAAGAAATAGAAAAGTTCCTGGACACGCACACCCTCCCAAGACTAAATCAGGAAGAAGTCAAATGCCTGAATAGACCAATAACAAGTTCTGAAATTGAGGCAGTAATTAATAGCCTACCAATAAAAAAAAAAAAAACAGTACCAGAAGCCTTCACAGTTGAATTCTACCAAAGGTGCAAAGAGGAGCTGGTAGCATTCCTTCTGAAACTATTCCAAACAATAGAAAAAGAGGGAATCCTCCCAAACTCATTTTATGAGGCCAGCATCCTCCTGATACCAAAACCTGGCAGAGACATAACAAAAAAAGAAAATTTCAGGCCAATATCCCTGAGGAACATTGATGTGAAAATCTTCAATAAAATACTGACAAACCGAATCCAGCATCACATCAAAAAGCTTATCCACCATGATCAAGTCAGCTTCATCTCTGGGATGCAAGGTAGGTTCAACATCTTCAAATCATTAAACGTAACCCCTCACATAAACAGAACCAATGACAAAAACCACGATTATCTCAATAGATGCAGTAAAGGCCTTTGATAAAATTCAACACCTCTTCATGCTAAAAACTCTTAACAAACTAGGTTTTGATGCAATGTATCTCAAAATAATAACAGCTATTTATGACAAACCCACAGCCAATATCATACTGGATGGGCAAAAGCTGGAAGCATTCTGTTTGAAAACCAGCGCAAGACAAGGATGCCCTCTCTCACCACTCTTATTCAACGGACTATTGGAAGTTCTGGCCAAAGCAATCAGGTAAGAGAAAGAAATAAAGTGTATTCAAATGGGAAGAGAGGAAGTCAAATTGTCTCTGTTTGCAAATGACATGATTGTATATTTAGAAAACTCCATTGTATCAACCCCAAATCTTCTTAAGCTGATAAGCAGCTTCAGCAACATCTTGGGATACAAAATCAATGTGCAAAAATCACAAGCATTCCTATACAACAATAATAGACAGAGAGCCAAATCACGAGTGAAATCCAGTTCACAGTTGCTACAAAGAGAATAAAATACCTAGGAATACAACTTACAAGGGATGTGAAGGACCTCTTCAAGGAGAAATACAAATCACTGCTCAAGGAGATAAGAGAGGACACAAACAAATGAAAAAACATTCCATGTTCATGTACAGGAAGAATCAATATCCTGAAAATGGCCACACTGCCAAAAGTAATTTATAGATTCAATGCCATCCCCATCAACTACCATTGACTTTCTTCACATAATTAGAAAAAACTACTTTAAATTTCATATGGAACCAAAAAAGAGCCCATAAAGCCAAGAGAATCCTAAGCAAAAAGAACAAAGCTGGAGGCATCAGGATACCTGACTTCACATTATACTACAAGTCTGCAGTAACCAAAACAGCATGGTACTGGTTCCAAATCAGATATATAGACCAATGGAACAGAACAGAGGCCTCAGAAATAATGCGACACATCTGCAACCATCTCATCTTTGACAAACCTGACAAAAACAAGCAATGGGGAAAGGATTCCTTATTTAATAAATGGTTTTGGGAAAACTGGTTTTCCATATGCAGAAAACTGACACTGGACCCCTTTCTTACACCTTATATAAAAATTAACTCAAGATGGACTAAAGACTTAAATGTAAGACCTAAAAACCCTAGAAGAGAACCTAGAAACACCATTCAGGACATAGGCATGGGCAAAGACTTCATGACTAAAACCCCAAAGGAATGGCAACAGAAGACAAAATGGACAAATGGGATCTAATTAATCTAAAGAGCTTCTGCAAAGCAAAAGAAACTATCACCAGAGTGAACAGGCAACCTGCAGAATGAGAGAAAATTTTTGCAATCTATCCATCTTACAAAGGGCTAATATCCAGAATCTACAAAGAACTTAAACAAATTTACAAGAAAACAACAAACAACCCCATCAAAAAGTGAGTGAAGGATATGAACAGACAGTTCTCAAAAGAAGACATTTATGCGGCCAACAAACATATGAAAAAAAGCTCATCATCACTGGTCATTGGAGAAATGCAAATCAAAACCACAATGAGGTACCATCTTATGCCAGTTAGAATGGTGGTCATTTGAGGACAGGCGCGGTGGCTCACGCCTGTAATCCCAGCACTTTGGGAGGCCGAGGCAGGCGGATCATGAGGTCAAGAGATCGAGACCAGCCTGACCAACAAGGTGAAACCTCATCTCTACTAAAAAATACAAAAATTAGCTGGGCGTGGTGATGTATGCCTGTAGTCCCAGCTACTTGGGAGGCTGAGGCAGGAGAATCACTTGAACCCGGGAGGCAGAGGTTGTAGTGAGCTGAGATGGCACCACTGCACTCCAGCCTGGCAACAGAGTGAGACTCCGTCTCAAAAAAAAAAAAAAACAAAAAGAATGGCAGTCATTTAAAAGTAAGGAAACAACAGATGCTGGAGACGATGAGGAGAAATAGGAATGCTTTTACACTGTTGGTGAGAATGTAAATTAATTCAACCATTGTGGAAGACAGTGTGGCGATTCCTCAAGGATCTAGAACTAGAAATACTATTTGACCCAGCAATCCCATTATTGGGTATATATCCAAAAAATTATAAGTAATTCTACTACAAAGACACATGCACACGTGTGTTTATTTCAGTACTATTTACAGTAGCAAACACTTGGAACCAACCCAGATGCCCATCAGTGATAGACTGGATAAAGAAAATGTGGCACATATACACCATGGAATACTATGCAGCCATAAAAGAGGATTAATTCATGTCCTTTGCAGGGACATGGATGAAGCTGGAAACCACTACTCTCAGCAAACTGACACAGGAACAGAAAACCAAACACCGCACGCTCTCACTAATGTCAAACAATGTGAACACATGGACACAGGGAGGGGAACATCACACACTGGGGCCTGTCGGGGGGTGGGGGGCAAGGGGAGGGATAGCATTAGGAGAAATAGCTAATGTAGATGACAGGTTGATGGGTGCAGCAAACCACCATGGCACATGTATACCTATGTAACAAACCTGCACATTCTGCACATATATCCCAGAACTTAAAGTATAATTAAATAAATAAATAAATAAAAAGACCTTCTGCAGTGCACAGAATATTATGTTGGAAGAAAACATTTCCTTCAGACCTTTCAGAAAACATTGTTAGCATCAGGCCATAACAAAGAGAACCTGGCGGGGGGGGAAGCATATATGAGCTGAAAATGAGTTGAAGGAGAGCGTTACTATTTCACGCCTTTTAAAAGCGGAGACAAAACAAAAATGATGAGACGTAATAAAAGTTGAACTTATGGTTAAAAATAATGAAAATATCTTATAATGTATTCAGAGTAAATCAATCCCTTCAGAAATTTCACTCTTCTAACCAATTCTTTAGTGTGGAAGTGTTTTTTAACATGAAACCTAATTTCTAGAAAGACCATTATAATTTCCCTTTAATTATAAACAACTTTATCACACAAAGATTTGTTTTTAATAAAGCCTCTAAGACTAAATTTAGAATACAAATTTTTTTACTCATATAAAACTATGTCTTTTAAGGCTTTCTCACCAACAAATAACTCTTTATTTCTGTAACTTTCTTCACATCTCTCTTATTTCCTGGCTCTTTTTACCTTGTTTTATATATAATATTTAAATGAAATTTGAGTTAGACAAAAAATGTTCACTGTTTTAAAAAGAACACTTTTTTAGAAAAAGAGATTTTCTACAATATATTATTATCAAAAAATACCAAAATAATGAAATATCTATTATTTAACTTTACATATTAAATTGTCATGTTTGTCTACAAGTTTTTATCCTATTACATTTACCTAATTATTTTAATCATTTACATAGATTTTTTATGAAAACTGCAATAGTTATTATGTAAGTTATAAAACTACCATTGCAAAATTATAACTGAGACAGTGAAACATATCTCACCTAACTGACTCCATCCTGTTTCTAACCTCCAGCTGTCCTTGTTTATTCCTGGACATAGGCCATAGTAACTTTGGAGGGAACTTAGTTTATAGTTTAGCTTTGAAACAAAGATAAGAACAGTCCTTTCTCAAAACAAAGCTCCTTACTACCTGTGGAATAGACTGCTTAAGGCCGTTATGGTAACTGTACTAAATAATTCCAGATGTAGCTATTTTTATTAAACCAATATCAATGTCTTATTTATCAAAAATCACACAAGCAAACATCATTCTGTTTTGGTCTGGGTTTTATAGTTTTGTATTGCCTATGCCAAACTCTGACACATAGCAGTTGACAGGGATAAGTATGAAATTGCTTGATCAATAAATGCAAATGAAAATGTATGCTGGAAGTTCCTAAGACATTTTTAATGTTACTTTACCAATAATTTTCAACTAGCTTATTTATTAGAGAATTTACTTAAGTCATATAAACTTGAAAAAACATTTAACTAGTCTTTCCTTTGTTCTGGTATTGATTTAAGTGTTTTTATTTCTCTTTAAGCCAATTAATTAGAGCTCTTTTATATATTTTAAATAGTGAAACACTGTGTACACAACCCATAAATACACAGACGTATTTGGCATGCCAATAGAAGTACATCTTATTGATTCATGAGACCTTTTTTTTCCCCCATCTTAGACTTGCAATCTCTTGATAACCTGTTTCATTATCCTGGAAGTTGTCAGATAAATCTGCATATTAAAGGAAACAACTCTTACGTGAAAAATCAAATAGCAAAATTTACTTCTCAAGGTTCAGAGAGAAAAAATCTGGTGGTTCTAGAGGGAGATTAAAGATGGATGCCACATTAAACATTAAAATAAAAATTTATCATAAGAGTGTATAAGGATACCAATTTTATTTAGATAGGGACTACCTATTTTTAACCGGATCTCTGAGCTCTGAGCAGAGCCCACACTGAATCGTGAGTCTCCAAAAGAAAATTATGAGACTAGGCCCTGTGATGAGTTTACAGTGCACCATAATTTTTTTAAACAAAGACATTTCTAAGTCTCTACACTCTTCCTTAAAAACCCAAGAGTAGCCTCTGTTGCAACAACTATCTTAGTCAAAAAATCAGGTAACACAATACAAAAGCAAGCAGTTTAAAGGCAGAGTTAAACTTTTCTGTTTACACTCTTGGGGTTCCATAAGGAAAAACAGAGGTTTCTCCCCAGAAGTGAGTCTGGCACCTTCTCCATTTTCTAATTAACCCCCAGGCAATTAGAAACTATTTTAGGTCCCTCATGCAACAGAGGATGCAAGAGAAAGGAGAGACGCAGAAGTAAATAAAGGAAACAGAATTCAGTCAACTGAGAAGGAAATTAACTTTTGCTCAGAAAGGCAAAGTCCTAGGTGAAAAGAAAAGTAAAACAAAAATATGAAGACCTTTCAAATACAAACACACACACACATGCAAACATACACACATACATCTTGGATGCTGGCTTTTAGTTAAGCTGACTTTTAACCATTGAACTCCTTTAAAAAAATCTTTTTTTAAAAATCTCATTACCATATTTCAGCTAGGGAAAATTGCCGCTACTTCAGAAGTACCAAGCATCAAACCAGAAACGGCTTGTTTTAGGAACCAAACCCAGGCTGTCATGGTAAAAAACAAAGGCAGAAGCATAGCTATGGAACTACAGTGTGGGGAAACAACCATTGCTCTTTTAGTTTGGCCTGGCTAGTGAAATGGCTAGTGAAAAGGTGGCCTTGTTATGTAAATAAAGCCCCTTAAGAAGTCAAAATAAAAAATCTTTTTCTTTTGCAGGCCATTTCCCCCTCAACTATACCACCTTTTTGTGGGGAGGGGGGAGGGGGAATTTAGCCACTTTAGGGCCTTGTTCCCCATAATTTGAAACTTCCTTTTGGATTTTATCAAGTCAGATAGAGCTGATGAAACCCAATGGGAAAAAGACTGAAACAACAACAAAAACAGAAACAAACAACAACAACAAAACAGTTAAGCAAAACAAATGATCGCACAACTTGTACAATTACTTAGCACTCTAATGGTAAGGAGAAATTAAGACAAGCTGGTTGTTAATCTTAACTTTAGCAAGGACAAACCCCAATTGAGCTAATCACCTAGGGATGGGCCTCAGGCTGAAGACTGTCCATCCTAGAAGCAGGAAAAAACTCAAATTTGTCTTCCCTGTTGGAAGCGAGCTCAAACTCCATAAAAAAGTTACCCATCTTCCATCATCATGCAAGCAGGAAAACTTGCATTTCTTGTTACTCGCAAGTAAAATTCCATAAAAGGGAGTTGTACAGCAAAACATACTTCAAATCTCGACCAAATTTTGGGATACCAGGGATTCTTTGGACGGGGTGCTTCCAGGCCTAAGCAAATTGCCCTATTGGTTTGAGCCATAAAGATAGCTCAAGCTGGTACCAAGCACCAATAGGAGATTTGTCAAAGGTCAAGGATGCTTCTACTCAGAATCTCTTCATGATTGCCAAAATGTGAATGCTGAATATCTAAGACAGGTCTCAGGAAATTTAGGAAGGTTATTTTGCCAAGGTTTAAGATGTGCACCCATTACACAGCCTCAGGAGGTCCTGACGACACATGCCCAAGGTGGTCAAAGCACAGCTTGGTTTTTACATTTTAGGGAGACATGAGACATCAATCAATATCTGTATGATGTACATTGATTCCGTCCAAAAAGGTGGGACAACTCAAAGCAGCGAGGGGGCTTCCAGGTCACAGGTAGATGAGAGACAAATGATTGCATTCTTTTGAGTTTCTGATTAGCCTTTCCAAAGGAGGCAATCAGATAGGCATTTATCTCAGTGAGCAGAGGGATGATTTTGAATAGAATGGGAGGCAGGTTTACCCTAAGCAGTTCCCAGCTTGAGTTTTCTTTTTAGCTTAATTATTTTGGGGCCCCAAGATTTATTTTCCTTTCACAGAGATCGTATACCAGTTGAGCTCTGCCATTTTCCTCTTAGTACGCAAGCTTCAGCTCACTCGCCCAACTCCTGAGATCTTACCGGGAAGCTACTGATCACCAGTTTCAGGTTTTTTCTATCTACAGGTAAACTTCCTTTCTCTGGTGCTGGCTGTGACCAATTACTATTTTAGAGGGGCAGTGTAACTGCTTGACCATCACCTGATGGTTGCCTGATATTCTTTGTTGAGGAGGCACCCTTTCCTGCCCTGTTCATGTCTGACTAGCTATTTACTGTAATATTTCTTCTCTCAAGAGTCCAAGACCCCAATTATTTGGGGAAAATGGATGCAGGTCCATCTTCTGTAACTGCTGCCTGCTGACAGAGGGGCAGTGATGGTTGTTCTGTGGGTCTTGGCCTGTTTCTAGCTGTAAGGGCAGGAAGGTGGCTTCATGATTTGGTAAAAGTGGTATCCAACCAGGTCCTAGGGAGACAGCGGCAGGATTTTGCCTCCATTATCTGGAGCTGGATGGTGTGAAGCTGAGAAGACAAACTGAGTTATTAGAATGTCAAAACAAATTAAGTGGGTAATAACAGCTCCAAAAAATTCCGAGACTGCCAACATGCCCAGGTAACTGGTCGCTATATTCATGCCTGCTTAGTCTTGGATTTATGGGGTTGCTAACTGATTGCAGTATGTGCCCAGAATTAGAATATTGATTCAGATTTTTACATTACCTATCCCTTTGTTTCTTCGGAGCTGCAGCCAGAGATCACTGGTTGGTTCACAGAAATAGGCAGGGTTAGTCTAAATTGCAGATAAAAACTCAAAAACAACTGATGAGACTAGAATCTAATAATAGGTATACCATAGTTCTTGAAACATAATTTTTCAGTCTCCAGTCCTCATTTGTTATTCAAAACAAATATAGCGTTGTTTGCAAAAAAAAAAAAAAAAAAAAAAAAAAGCTTTAGTCTTATTTTACTTGGCCTGATTATTTGCATAAAGCACAGCAAAAATAATTATTTGCCATATAGGTTTCTTTTTAATTTGGCTTTGATGCAACTTCATTCCATAAGGAATCTCAGATAAGACTCTGTTTGAAGCCTTAAGCACAGCCATGGATTGGTGCCATTAAATACATTTATGAGGGGTAAATTTCTCTCCTATTGAGGTCTCAAAATAACTTGGGGTTCCTGTGATTGTTAGAAAGTGACATTCTTTACTTATCACAGTTCAGGAACTCTGTACAGGGACAAGGACAAAATATGTGGAGAAAAGCTATGAGGCCAGTTTTCGCAAGGGGCTTTTCTAGACTCTATAAGTAAAGTTTGATTTCTTAAAGGAAAGTACACCATTCTAGTCAAAGCCTTGGTATAATAAAATAACCAGTTTCTCCAGTTATGTCCTGTTGTAAAAGAGAACAGATTCTTATTGCACATATGCAAATAACGATATTGCCATAAGTTAAGAATACTTCACAGATAGTTTCCAAATTCTGGAGAAATCAGGTAGAGAGAAATAAATATGCTCCAAGTTTTGTCTACAGGAGTGCTCAATTGTTAAAAGCTATAAGTAGCTCAAAAGAAAATTTTTCTTGGCTTTGAAAAAACAAAGAATGGATTGGCAACATTTTAAGCGAAAGTCAAAAAAGATTACTTGGGTCTTTTATTAGTTAAATGTATGCAACTATTTCCTGTTTTGCTTGAAATTTATAAACACATTAGTAAAGTCCTGTAGCTGATTATGTAACCACCTTTTAGAGGATTAAAACAAGGTGATATGGTTTGGTTCTGTGTCCCCACCCAAGTCTCATCTTGAATTATACTCCCATAATTCCTGCATGTTGTGGGAGGGACCTGGTGGGAGATAATTTGAATCATGGGACAGTTCCCCCATATTCTTCTCGTGGTAGTGAATAAGACATACAATATGTGATGGATTTATCAGGGGTTTCCACTTTTGCATCTTTCTCATTTGCTCTTGCCACCACTGTGTAAGAAGTGCCTTTCACCTCCTGCCATGAATCTGAAGCCTACCTAGCCATGTGGAACAGTAAGTCCAATTAAACCTGAGGTGAGACTGAGGTAGTCCCCGATGGAGATGAAGAACTTGTTGGGAGCTGGAGCAAATGTGACTCTTCTTATGTTTTAGCAAAGAGACCTGTGGCATTTTGCCCCTGCCCTAGAGATTTGTGGAATTTTGAACTTGAGAAAGATGATTTAGGGCATCTGGTGGAAGAAATTTTTAAGTAGTAAAGCATTCAAGAGGTGACATGGGTTTTGTTAAAGGCATTCAGTTGTATAAGGGAAGCAGTCTGACCGTAAGGTAAGAATCTCATAAACCTTTTATAAGCCTTTACCATTTTCTGTTAAAGAGCAGAATAATGCTCTAGGCAAAATGTGTCATGCTTTTTATTCCAATGTTCAATTTACAGATAAACTGAATAATACCACTTTAGTTTTAGCTAATATGTCCACAACCACAATTTCTTTACAAGATGAATTTTTCACAAGCCTTGCACGACTTGCCTAAACCTTTAGCTATATCCTAACTTAAAACAATCTTTTAACCCTCTAAGTAAGGCAAAATATCCACATTCCCATGCCTTCTTATAATCTTCTACCAAAAGCACATTCTACTTTCCTTGCATGCCTTGTGTGTAAAACTGTTTTTCCAATAGACTCAGGTACATGTTACAATGTTAACTCTTAGCAACTTTTAGTTTTGGGGAAATACGTGGTAAGTAAGCAATTCTAATTATGTACTAGGTATCTAGCCTAGGACACCAGACAGCAGTGCAGATAAGGTTTGAACCTTTATTATAGCTAGGGACCTGATTAACTTTGTATGTCCCCAGGCCTTACCTAGCTTGAAAGCAAACAACTTGCATAATTAAGAGTCTTAGTAGCAGTTTATGAAGCATAAAGGAGGCTTAATAGCCTTTAAATTGTTTAATATTTTTTTCTTAAATTTCCTTTCATGAGTCTTCTCCCAACTTACACAAATCTTCTACAACATGTTTTAACTTTCTGATTTGTCCTAAACATTCCTCTTTTTAAACACCCTGTTATTTTACTTTGGGACAACAATTTACCATACAAGATATTTTCTTATATAAAATCCCTTTTCTTTATAACATTCCTTACCAAAAATACCTCTTTGCCTTTATAACCTTTGAATTAGACAAAAGTCATTTTATTTCTGTTAAGAAATTATGGTTTGTACTACATGTTGCTGTGTATATACTGTGAAGAGGGAGCAAATAGGCAGGTTATCTGCATACTGCAGATGTTATCTCCCCTCAAGAGATTGCTTGGTAAGATTTTTTTAGGGCTTTTCTGAATAAGTGTGGACTATTTCTAAACCCATGAGGTAGGACTGACCAGATTGAAGTAGTTATTAGGGAGAAAGATAAATTCAGAGGTAGGGTAAATATTAAATTCAGAGGTAGGGTAAATATTAAGAAGTCATCCATCTTAGAAAGTACATTTTTGCCCCGAAGTGTAAATACTCTTTTGGAGGAAGGTAGTGCCATTAACCTCCATTAGCCAATAGGAGTTGAAAGAGAGTTGCTCAGGGAAGATTAGCTCAGACTAGGCAGCTCTTAAGCCCAAAAGGGAAATTTATAATTTTACTTGCCTCCTCCAGAGTTGCTCTTGGCTTTGTTCCATTGATGATGTCTGATCTGGGAGCCGATTGGTCCAGACAGCCCATTCTGCTCAAGGCCATAAAAGGTTGGGATTATTTCCCAGGGGCCCTTCCGCTCTCAGGGCAGTCCTGTTCCAGCGGCCAAGCTTGTGGCAGAGGGGCAAGCTGTGTGCAGCTTTTGCCATTTATCCCATTGGGACAGTTTGCCTTCCAGTGGCCTGGCTTACTGCACCAATGGCAGTTACCTGAAGGAGTGTTATTAGGGCAACCTGGAAGGGGCTGGAGAGCTTGTAAAGCAGTCAAAATAGTTAGCCTGCCTCCTTTCCCTGCATTTCTCCTGTTCTTAGCCCTGTCGTCCATATTCTACTCTCAGTTATAAAAGACTGAGGAAGCTAATCTCAAGACCTCCAGCACAGGGGCACTGCATTCCAAGGCTGACTTTTGTAATTTTTTCCCAGTTTATTTTAAAGCCAAACAATATTAAAACAGAAAACTCATTTTATGTGTTAAGGTTTAGGGGAATCACACATTTTCCAGTTTTAGGGGAATGCATCTGAGGGGCATGTCCTGTGGTATAAAGATGTGATTGCTAGGCTGGATGCAGTGGCTCATGCCTGTAATCCCAGCACTTTGGGAGGCTGAGGGGGTGGATCACCTGAGGTCAGGAGTTTGAGACCAGCCTGACCAACATGGAGAAACCCCATCTCTACTAAAAATACAAAATTAGCCGGGTGTGGTGGCTCATGCCTATAATCCCAGCTACTCAGGAGGCTGAGGCAGGAGAATCTCTTGAACCAGGAGGCAGAGCTTGTGATGAGCCAAGATCACGCACTATTGCACTCCAGCCTGGGCAACAAGAGTGAAACTCCATCTCAAAAACAAAACAAAAAAACAAAACAAAAAAGATGTGATTACCCATCTGCAAAGAAAACAGGAGAAAAGAAAGAAAAAAGAAAGAAGAAGGTGTTCCCTCTACTTTTCTATTATTCTGAATGGGGCATCTCCCATTGTCCTTAGGGTTCCAGAATTAACCGGTTTTACCATGTACCTTTGGTGTCATCTGTTCACAATTATCCACTTGGGAACAGAGGAGATACTGGAGTGAACAGTGGGCCCCCTGTTTATCCTTGGGGTTCTGGAATGAACCCGTCTTACTGTGTACCTGTAACCTTGCCTTTATCTCTGTTCTGATGGTAATCGGTTAGCCTGGGACCAACCTTCATCTCTGCCCTATGGGTCTCTTGCACCTGCAGCCTTGGCCCGGCCTATATCCTTGTCTTCGTGACCTTGTAATGACTGTTGCGTAAAGCCTTCCAGAAAAAGGTATATATATTTTCTTAGATTCTCATTTCCCATGTTCTTTAAGTAGATGAGAAGCCTTATAGCTAACTGCTACAAGGGGGCTGGACTTTCCTCCCCACTTGCTTCAAATATGACCTTGAAGGTCTTGATGCATATTGAGAAGGATGCGAAAATAATTAGAGAAATGGAGGCCACAGGAAGAAGTGAGAAGAAGCAAGAATCCAGCAGCCTTTGGATTCAAGAGGGTAATGTTTATTTGCCCTCTTGATGTAAAGTAGTAACTTCCGGAGGACTTGGGGCTTGGGATAAGAACTCATAAATGGCAAAGAAAAAAATCCCCTCCTGCAAAAAAGGTGCTAACTCAAAAAAGCACAAATAGGTGGGCTCCTTCAAGGGCAAGAGTGAGGCCCTATATAGGTGGACAAACTGCTTCAAGACCCTGGGAAACTTGGCCCTGGGGCATAACAGGAATTAAAAGCATATGCTAAGTTATAAGGAGATGGCAGAGCTAGGTTCCAATTATTGTCTGTCCTGGCAATGGGCCAGTAGACATCCGAAAGGAAAGTCGTTTCTTTGCTGCTGTGCAAGTGCAGTAACAGCCACAGGTGCAAGAATAACAGGAAGTGTGTGATGAGGTCACGTGACATGTGAAGTAAAAGCAAAGGGTTGGAGTTGCCCCTGAGGTGGACAGTCTGGTGGGTGTGCAAGGCCATTTTAGAACACACACAGAAAAAAAAAAAAATTGGCAATGTGAGTTCTTGGGAAACAGCCCATTTTAGTTGAAAAAGCAGACGAATCCCCAGCATTGCACGGTTTTAGGTTTTATCCCTACCACTCTCATGAGCCACCTGTCCAGGAGGGCCATTAGTGCCTCCATTCTACTCAGTTCAGACCCCAAGGCCAATCCCATCCCCACGAGTCACCCTTCTGGGTGAGCTGAGTGATAAGCTGGGGAAACACAGTCACTTATGGCCAAAAGGACTTGTTCTAGATGTTTGTTAATAAGCAGAAGGGAGACAGGGAGAAGAAACCATGTGCAGTGGTTGAACATCCCCAGCCAAAGAAGATGAGGGGTAGAGATCTCTTACCACTAGGGAATGTATTCAAGTCATGTAGCACCAAAGTATGTTAGCAGTGGAAGTTATCTGAGTCACATGGCACCAAAATATTTTGGCGGCAACGAATCTGTATGGGTCTGCAGCAACCTCGATTCTTGCCACCTCAGAAGAAATAATTCAACTGAGGAGCCTAAGGTAGAAGGAGAAACCCAGGGAAATTTTAGAGCAGGAGTAAAACTTTATTTTAAAAGCTCTAGAGCAGAAACAAAAGGAAGGAAAGTATACTTGGAAGAAGGTCAAGTGGTCAACTTGAAAGACAAGTGTGCAGTTTTACCTTTTGACCTGAGGTTTTATATGTTGGCATAATTCTGGGGCTTTGCATAACTTCTCCCCTGACTTCACCTTTGGGGTGGGCTGTCTGCATGCGCAGTGGCCTGCCAGCAGTTGGGAGGGGAGCATGTGCGGTGTGTTTACTGGAGTTGTATGAATGCTCACTTGAGGTGTTCTTTCTTTACCAGCCAAATGTCCCTAAGAAATCATATACCAGTTAAACTCTGCCATCTTGCCTCTTAGGCATTTTTCCAACTCCTGATATCTTATCGAGAAGCTACTGATCACCAGTTTCAGGTTTTTTTTCTATCTATAGGGAGACTGCCTTTCCCTGGCACCTGCTGTGACCAATTACTATTTTAGAGACTGTGTAACAACTGCCTGACCATCACCTGATGGTCCCCTGATATTCCTGGCGGCAAGGAAAAACTCTCTTCCACCCTGTTGGTGGCTGACTAGCTACCTATTGTAACAACTTGAGATAATGATCTCTGGTTCCATCTAAGTTGCTGCAAAATACATTATTTCATTTTTAGAATAATCAACATAATTTGTAGAACTATATTTAAAACTATGCTTTTGTCCAGATTATTCCTAATAGAATATTTATTCATCCTCAGAGAGTGAATCTGCTTATTCTGGATTCATGCACTAGCCTATTTATATCCACAAATCTGTGTGTACTTATTTCTATCTATTACGTTTGAATAATTTTTTTAAAAAATAAACTTCCTTTCTCTTTACAAACAAGAGTTGGAATGATACAGATGTCTCTGTGTGTGTGTTTGTAGTAATTTTTTTCCTGCTATAATCTTCTAGGTAAGATTCTTCTTCTTTGTCTTTAGGTATGCAAAGATTTGCCTCCTTATAGTATTATTTTATTTTATGTATTCATTTAATATCTTAATAAATAGGCTAGAGAAAGGTGATTTTTTTCTGTTTTTTTTGTATGTTTACATAGTCAGATGTTTAGTTAAACAATAATTGTAAGAATATCAATATGCATTTTATGATAATTTAGTTGTCATTTTTGAAATTGTTCTCTATATGTGATTTACAAACAAGGTAACCCTCTCATGAGTATTTGATATTAAGGTCAGCAGTCTTGTATGCATTGTCGTCTTTCTGTTTAGAACAGCAGTGTCTAATCTTTTGGTTTCCCTGGGCCACATTAGAGGAAGAATTGTCTTGGGCCAAACATAAAATATACTAACACTAATGATAGCTGATAAGCTAAAAAAGAAATCACAAAATAATCTCATTATGTTTTCAGAAAGTTTATGAGTTTGTGTGGGGCGGCATTCAAAGCTGTCCTGGACTGCATGTAGCCTGTGGGTCAGTTTGGTTTAGAAGCAGTCAGTGACTTCCTCCCTAATGTTACCAGATTCTTGAATTTAAAACAATGTGACAATTGAAACAGCCTGGGAACAATTACTGAATTCATGGAGGTTTACCAACATACTGTTGATACCACTCATTCGCTAGGGAATATGTAAAGTAGAATTTTGCTACATGGAAAGCAATTCTCTCCACCAAAGTGGTTTGGACCTCTGGAAAGGTTTACAGATTTCTGCAAAGAAAAGGAGATGGAGAGATTGTATCCTAGTTAAAGAATATGGTAACTTTGTTTCCGATGATTAATGGCTTTAAAACCTTGTGTTTTGGGGATATTAAATTTGAAATCAGTTGATCTTTACTCAAAAACATAAAATCCCCAATAAGTAAATGCCAATTTTACACTTTTAACAATCCTGGACAAGGGATAGAACATAGAGCTTTATTAACAATCCATCTAATAGGTGTAATAGAAAAAAAATCAGTTTTCAAAATCATATGATAATAGAGGTTTTGAAATGCATTTACCGTCTATTTCATACTCTCACTTTTTAGTGTTAAAAACAAAATTATTTATGCACTTGTTAAAATGGTAAGGAAGAGTTTATTCAGAGCTGTTGCTATAGATGTAAAAACTATTGCAGTAGGGGAGAGTGATCTGGTTCAAATCTGAATGCAGAAAGACAGCTGTGGCTAATAGCCAAGGAGCAGAGACGGGAAAAGTTGAGGAGGGTTTCAGTGGATAGCAAACTACAAAGAGAAGACATCAAGAATGGGAGATTCTTGCTAAATTAACTGATTTAGTAGAATTCTTTCTAAAACTGGGCTATGCAGTTTAAAGATTAGATGGGGGCTAATGTGAATGTTTAAACCAAAATAAGACTTAGAGGAGCCTGACTATAGTTCAGTCAAGGAGAGAGTCTTTCTCAATAGGAAGAGAGAAAGAAAGAACAGAAAACATATGCAACTTGCAGATCAAGAAAATACTTCATTGCAGATAACTTTAATTTAAAATCCCTTGCAAGCTTTTATTTATTGAGGAATTTACCCTAAGTAACCTCCAGAGTTGATTTAGTCAATCTTGACCCTGTTTCTCAGACCTGTTTCGGTGATATTTGATGTACTGGACATTGTTAGAATAAATTCAGGCCTTGCATCCTGAATCTCTAGTCTTCTATTCTAGATCACTCCCAAAGTCACTGATTAGCAAAATGACCTCTGATGCTTTCATTCATGGATTCCAGGTACTTATAATCTAGTAGAGCCTGTGGCCAACCATATAAGTGTCTGAAGTTCCACTTTGTACCACTTTGCAGCTGAAGAATTCTTTGGCTGCAGTTTCTTTTCTTATCCACCTGGTTCTCCCAGGGTGTCACAGCTCTTAAAGTTTTTACTATCCATGAAGTTCAGCCATAATTATAGCAGTGTTCTTTGAGTCTCCATATAAAGAAATACATTTTGCTCAAAACACATTTGGTCCTATGGTCACTGATAAACTTAATTTCATTTTCACTGATTATTGTTATATTATTGATATTGTTCAATGAATTAGTACCTCATCAACACTGATGACCTTCCCACTCTTATAAGTGCTTCTTCAATTCTTCTTTAGAGTTGTAGTGATACTTTGAATTAACAGGTACTACTTTATTTTCAAGAGGTTTTCATATTGCCTCCTTTGTTTCCTCAGTTTTATTTCTATTCAATCATTAGACATTGAAAGAACAAGAATGAGTAATTCAGTATATGCCAGAGAGATAGCTACACCTTATAGATTTTGTAGTTCCTTACATGTACTGTTAACAATGCTTATTTCAAGTTGCCTGAGTTTATTGACAATGCTGGGCTGTTGTGCCACCTCCATGACTCAAGACTCCCTTCTGAGAAACAAAATTGTAGTTGCAGAGCTAGTGTGCCACAGGACAAGATATGTAGAAATGGTACATTTTCAAACAAGAAAAAGTGGTAGCACCTCCATCGTACATTTTTCTGTGTGCTAGCCCCCAACCCCCCGCCACACCGGAAATGAGTAATGATGAGAATAGAATCTGTAAATATCAGGTGTTTGTCACTGGCAACATACGTCAATTTTAAATGGCAGGCAAGAGTCCCAGTTGATTGAAAAAAAAATGTGTGATGTAATTTATTATGCCATTACTGGTAAAAAATCAAGTGTTTTTGCTAGTACTCCAAAGATCTGGCAGCACAACTGGTACTTTTATGGAATGGGAGGCAAAGCACATCAAGCAGACATTTGGGACTCTAAGAAGCAGATGGTGTTCTGTATTCAAAACAAATGACAAATAATGTATTAATTTATGGACACTACAAAAATTAAATATCATTTTAAAAAATGCTAGAGTAGGTCAGGACTCGAAGAAACCTGTGTGTTGCACTGAAGGGCAGCAGAGAGTCGTAAGAAACTGGTGCCTAGAAACACTTTTAGGAGAGAAACACCATATGGTAATAAATGAGTATACCTTGTCATGCTCATCAATTGCAAACAAAGGAGAATCATGTACTATGTATTTCGCTTTCTTTTTAACCACACTCCTTATCATATATGAGAATCTCAAAAGCAGTTTACAGTGTAAACTTCTGGTTTTTTTTTAAATGAATTCTTATGTTCTCTTTAAAAACATAAGCTTCTGGTTTTAGTTTAGTGTTATATTTACATTAGGTAAGAAAGCAGAGAGATAGGAAAACTGTTTATTTAAAAACAAAACAAATCCTCTCTTGTCTATATTTGCACCTTTGTGATAC
Source organism: Homo sapiens (assembly GCF_000001405.40). NCBI lineage: Eukaryota > Metazoa > Chordata > Mammalia > Primates > Hominidae > Homo > Homo sapiens. The sequence goes on from NC_000023.11 coordinate 90,443,132, forward strand.
AAAAAAGTGAGTTATTTAAGTAAAATAGAAAAAAATTTTAACTTATGTTTAGCTCAGTCCCTGGTACATAGAAAGCACAAAATAAATGCTTATTTTTCTGTACTGAATGATTGGATATAGGGATGTGAAAATAATTGAATGCCTAACCATTACTATTTTGATTTTTTACAGATTTCCTCCAAAACACTCTGCTAAGGCTCTACCCAAGAATGAATTTACCTAACTAATCTAAAATTGTTTTCAAATTATCACAAATAAAAGATTATTTTGTGATAGAGCAGAACTTATTTTGCTCTCTTTCTGTACAAAAAAATATATATCAAATCGAATTTCTAGAATAGCAAATGGCAAATTTTATGCATAAAAGAATAATATTTTATTACTTAATTCAAACTAAAATGTTTAAGTAAGACAAAATATATAAGAGAAAAATATTACAGTTTTAACCTGCAATTGATTTAAATAGTTTTAATAAGAAAATTTTAAACATGAAACTGAGTTTGTGGGGAGTAATAATTGAATAGAATTCTTTTATTCACTTTTGTCTAGTTTTTTTATACTCCCCCCGCCACTGTATGGTTTCTTTTCATCTATATCATTTCAGTTAAAAAGGTTTAAGGCAAAAATGCATGCAATATGGAATTTTTGCCTGCAGTTTTTACATCAAAGAGACAGTGTGTGTAGGAGGTTCAGATATGGAAAGTCGAATGCTGACTATACATCGAAAGGAGTCAGAAAACATTAAGTAGTTTCTCAGGGTTGAGAAACAGAATAGTTCTCTCATTTTGATTTGTAAGCTTTTTTGAACAAATACAATAGCAAATACTTTGTTTTTAAAATAAAGTTACAATAAAATAAAGTTAAAATAAAGTTACATAAAAATAAAAGTTACAAAGTAGTAACTTTTTTTTTTTTTTTTTTTGAGATGGAATCTCTCTCTGTTGCCCAGGCTGGAGTACAGTGGCACAATCTCAGCATATGAACAATTAGTTCTTTAGTTTTAATGATGCAGGATTTTTGCTCCTTAGCTCAGCTAGGTCCAGGTTCTTGTCTCACGACCAGGAAAAATTAGGCACGCAGACATCAAAAAGTTAGTGGAGTAGAATTTATCAAGGGAAAAGAAAGCTCTCAGCAAAAAGAGGGGAGGCTGGGGGTAGTTCTCCCACTCAAAGACAGGAGAGAACCCTAATATGGTTGAGCCCAGGACCTTTTATGGGCTCAGAATAGGGGGTATGTACTGATCAGTTTGTGAGCATGCAAAAAGGTCAAAGCGAAGACATCACTCAAACGTGGGCACAACAGTGTAGAAAGCCAATTAGGAAAGGGTAAGTATATGTAAAATAGGAGAAGGATGGGGATCAATCAGAGGAAAGCATCCCAAACGGGAAGGTAGGTTCTCAATCCAGTCCAAGGACTCTTTCCAGCTTGAAGGCCAGGTTTCACTGGGGACCTGCTCCTATCTTCCTAGGCAGTTGTCTGCCTTCTGCTTCTATCACTAACGATTTGCAATACTCAACTAACATGAGAATGATCCTGAAGAAAACATTTCATCTGAAAGCAAAGAGAAATTATTGGCAATGAACCTTTGGTAGTTCTGTCCCTTCCTTTCCTGTTTTTAAATATACTTAAGCGTTGAGATTTAGAGACTGACAAATAAAATCAGAGTGATTTATCACTCATTTAAAAGAGAATATGATCATACATATATATCTATATATAAAATACATATTTTACATATATAATATTAAGAAAGTATGAGCGTTGCTGTAAAACACTGTGTAATAAGTTTAGAAATCAATCTAAACTCTGAATTAGCATAAGCCATGTGATATCAGCTGCAAAACAAAAACTGGTATAAGCAGACAAAATATTTTATCATTTACAAGGTAATGTGTGTATCTGAAGCAACATGTACCCTAATGACCAATTTGAATGTTTTTGCCTATATTCTTAGCATTTCAAGAACTATATATATATTTTACATATATTATATAATATATGTTACATATATGTATTATATATATTATATACATATATGTAACATATATGTATTATATACATTATATAATATATGTTACATATATGTATTATATATATTATATACATATATTGCATGTATATATATTACATTATGTAATATATATTATACTATATTACTAATATATTTTACATATATATTATGTAATATATATTATACTATAGTATAATATATACATATATGTAATATATATTATACTATATTGCTAATATATATTACATATATATTTACATTGTATATATTTACATTATATAAAAGATATATAATAAATATGTTTGCATTATATATAATATATGTAATTAATATATTTACATTATATGTAACATATATGTAAAATATATATATAGTTCTATTGGCCAAATGAACTGGCAAGCCAAGCGATATGCATTTAAATTTTTGATTTACTCAAATATATAATAGTAATGTTATTTCTTGGGGTCATATTAAATGAAAAAGAAAATCCATGCTTGCCTTCATTGTCCAACAACATTGGTGTTTCCAGGCACAAATCCCCTCTAAGCCTTTCTTTAGGTACACGGTTTTCCAAATTCTGAATCTCTAGAAAAATTGCTTGAGAAATTGGAAAAATGGAGAAAAGTATCATAAACTTCCTGTTAGAGATAAAGCATAAAAATTAACACAGAAATGTTAACTAGTACTAAGTACTAAGAAATCCAGTAACATCAAGTCAAAAATAAAAGAAGGCAACACTGACTTGGTGAATCCATGTTGAATTCCACATTTCTAGAAATACAGGAACACACGGGAGTGACACATGAGCAATCTAAGTCATTTTTCAGGTAGCTGTTGTCCTGCGATAAATGTGCATCTGTTGCTTTGCTGCTAACAGCAAGTGATTTTTGCAAATAAAATAAATACATGTGCATGATATACTTCATAAAAATCCTGTGAGTGGAGTTCCAAGAAATAACAAGTTTTAGAAGCAAAGTAGCAATTTTGACACATGATTCTGTGTAGTGCTGTTAACCATGCTAGGAAATCTGAATTCTCAGTTATTTTAATATTACTCAATAATATTTACTGGTGTTTTTCAGTATTTAAATAATTTTAATAGGCCAGAGTTATATGTACATATTTTAACAGAAGCAATGCAAAAAGAAGGTATGAGTGCTGCTGTAAAATACTGCGTAATAAGATTAGAAATCAATCTAAAATCTGAATTAACATAAGCCATGTGATGTCAACTGCAAAACAAAAATTGTTATAAGCAGACAAAATATTTTATTATTTACAAGGAAATGTGTGTATCTGAAGCACATGTACCTTAATGACCAATTTGAAGATGTTTTTGCCTACATTCTTAGCATTTCAATCAATGTAAATGAAAAATAAAATTTTGTCTGAAATACTTGCATGAAACAAAGATCAAGACTATCAAACAGAGCAATAGAGTAATATATATGCTTTGTGTATCTTAATAATTTATTTTAAAAATAGATTTAAAATATTGAATAATTTTGTTTTGATATTTCAAATTTTGAATTATTTTTTACTTGTAATTTATTTTGTGTTATAAAAATATTGAAAGAAGGGAACATTATCATGTCAATATCAGAAAGTCATTTTTACATGTATTGAAGTATACAATTTTATCATAATATACTAGCTCATGATAATAAATTATGCATTTACTATTATATTTTTTAATGAAAAATACATTTGGAACTTTAAGCATAATCTTATTTAGAAAAAATGATTCACTGCTATTAGGATCACTTATTATTCAAAATTATGTAAATAAACTCTTATTAAAAATGCATAGTAACCCCTGATTTTGAGAATTTCAAAGAATTCTTGGGAATTCTGATATTCCGTTTCTAAATCTTAAAGATCGATTGGGAATCTGGAAACATTGACTATAATAATTATTTCTCTTCCCAAACAAGCATTAATTCTTAGTGCTTTATTATCTTACATAACAAGTCAAGGATAACTAAAATTTACAATAATTTTCAAATGCAGGCTCCCGCATTTTTATCAAAAAGTATGCTGTGGCCATTATAAATATAATTTGTCCTAATTCAGAGTTATAATAAAGACAGAAAAAATGTATTAACCATTTACTAAGTGCTAAGCACTGTGCTAAACATTTTCCCTATGTTCTTCCAATAATCCACACAATACTACAAAGTTATAGGTGTTACTTATCCTCATTTTATAGAGAAGAAAATTTTTATTCTGAGTGATATGCCCACAACTCAACTAATAAGAAGACATTTGATCCAAAATTCTCTAATCCTTGAATGTACTTTCCAAAAGCCTTACAAAAATAACTATAATGTAGGTGTTGTATTCTTGGAAATTTTAAGCTTGTAGATTATAAAAATATTCCTTATTTTTTATTCACAGCTTGAGGCCTTCTTCTCATCATTGCCTATACTACCACAGATTTTTTTATTACACTTTTATTCCTGCTGTCAGCTTTAGCTTTTCTGTACAATTAGTGATTCTCTAAATTATTACCAGAACTTTCCAAATATAATATACTTTGATGTCTCTAAAAGAGCAAGACAGGAAATGCATTCTTTAAGCTCACAGATGGAATATGAGAAAAATATGACCTCACCTAACAAGAGATAGAAGTTTTTATTGCACATTTTGCACATTCTAAATTCAAAAACTTTCTTAAAAATGATGAAAAGTCAGTTCACAGGAAGCTATCAATTCTAAAATCTTATTTGTAAATATAAATAAGAGGCAATATGACATATGGTGAAACTCAGTAAAGAGAGTTGAGAATCTACAGGTATATTGAACAAAATAAATGAGACTATGAGGAAAAACTCTTAAAGTTCTTGTTTGAATGTTTTGAAATATCTATGAATTTACTGTATCTGGTATACAGCACTGTCTAATTACCAAGACAGGACCCTTGAGCCACTTGGTCTTGTGTCACATTCTGGTAATCTATTATAGCATAAAGTAGGCAGGGTATCAGGTGTCAAAGTTCTTTTGATAACTTACTTCAGAGATGGTTATGAGTCTGTGCATGAAGGAAAAAGAGGAGGCAGATTTACAATGTGCTTAAAGCATATTTCTCAATGAGAAACATTTCAGGAATTACTGCTGGCCTAGAAAAATATGACTATAACTTACTTTCTTAGAAACTGAAGCCATCTGAATAATCTGGAGAGTATCTAGACACAGGACAGTGCATGTAAATTATAGGTCAGTGACTGGAGCATTTAGCTGGAGAAGGTAATGAAAGAGAAAAAGTAGAAAAGAAAGAAAAAATGAATGACATTCATTTGATTTTATTACAAATTAAAATCACCTGTGTAAAAATCAACCAAGTCAAATATAAAACATTGCTGACTCCACAGAATCTCATTTATTCCTGCCTTCCCATATGCACAAAAATAACTACTATACTCACTTGTATAGTAACCACTTTGTTATTTTTCTTTATAATTTTACAATGTAAGCATGTACTGCTTAATAAAATAGTTTAGTTTTAGTTTGGGCTGTCACTTGAAATTTATATAAATAAATTCAATCATGCAAGTATGTTTTGTGACTAGATTATTTTGCATAAATTCATGTTGTTAATATTTAAACATGCTACTGCATTAACTATTATTCTGTTATTTTAATTTTTTTTGTAACTCTCCATTGTAGAAATATACAACTTGTCTATCCCCTCTATTGATGATGGGTATTTGGGTCATTTCTACTTTTGGAATATTAGAAATAATGGTGTTTTCAACATTTTTGTACATGGATCTTGGTACACATACCTTAGAAATTGTATATTATCTATATACTAGAAATCTCACTATTGGGATTTCTAGTATATAGATAACATACAATTTTACTTTCAGTCCATAATATGAGACAGTTTTCCAAAAATTTTACCTGTTTGCAATCCTGCTTTATCCTCAAACAGCAAATTTTGAAGTTTTAGTTATTGTGGTACATGTTTTAATATCTCATTGTGGTTTAAGTTAGCTTTTTCCCTTATTATTTATAGCATAAAGCACATTTTCTTTGATTACTTAGAGTATAAACACTAATCTTAATTGCCAACTAACTGGGCCATGATATTTAGATACTTGGTGAAATGTTTTTTTAGATGTTTCTGTGAAGATATTTTTCAGATGAGATTAACATTTAAAACAGTAGTCTTTGAGTAAATCAGATTACTCTCCATAATGTACGGGAGCCTCATACAATCAGTGGAAGGTGTTAATAAAAAAAAATATTAACCTGCCCCAGACAAAAGGAATTCTGCTAGAAACTGCCTTTGGACTTGAATTGCGACATCAACTCATCAACTATTCCCTGAGTGTACAGCCTGCTGGCCTACTCTGCAGATTTTGAACTTGCCAGCTCCCACAATTATGTGAGCCAATCCTTAAAATCTCTTTGAAAAAAAGAGAAAGAGAATCATATATATGTATGGCTTTATTTCTCTGGAGAGATTCTGAACAACACAGATGGTTTCTTTTGTAAACACCTATTCTAGGTACTTATTTTTTTGACTACTGGCTTGTCTTTCTTCTTGGTAATTGTCCCGCAAACATTCCTAAACCCTCTATTCCATTATTTGTGTTGCAGATATCTTGTTCCACCCTCTGACATCATTTTCACTATCTTAATGATACTTTCTAATGAATTGCTTTTCTTAATTTATGGTAAGACATTATACCAACCATTTTCTTTACGAATAGTTTATATTATGTATTGTTTAAGCAGTCTTACTTACTCCAAGATTATTTAAATATTATATTATCTTCTAGAAACTTTAATTTTTGATTTTTACATTTAGATCTACAATATATCTTAAATTAATTTTAGTGTGTAGTTTGATTAATAAGGCCAGGTTTTTCTTGTTCTTTATAATTATACAATTATATTCAACCACCTTAACACTATTTATTGAAAATACTGCTCTTTTTTCACTTCCATGAAATGTCACCTCTGTCATAAATATCCATATGTGTTATTGGTTCCATCAGTCCATTTGTCAATACTTGCACCAAGACTACACTTTCTTGATTTCTGTGGATTTCGATCACGATATCTAGTAGTAATATTCACCCCACCATGTAATTCTTTTTAAGAGTATCTTAAATATTTTTAGCCCTCTACATTTCCATATAACTTTTAGATGTAGTTGACAGGATTCCATTAAAATCAACCAAAGAATTCTGATAAAGAATACACTGAATGTCTTAATTATTTTATGAATAACATAATTCTTTTCAGTAGTTAGTCTTCTATTCCATAGACATGGTATATTTCCCCGTTTATTTATGTCTTTCTTAATTTTTTCAATGACCATTAAAACTTTACTCTATGGTGGCTGGGCACAGTGACTCATACCTTTAATCCCAGCACTTTGGGAGGCTGAGGAGGATGGATCACGAGGTCAGGAGATCGAGACCATCCTGGCTAACAGGGTGAAAGCCTGTCTCTACTAAAAATACAAAAATTAGCCGGGCGTGGTGGTGGGCGCCTGCAGTCCCAGGTACGTGGGAGGCCGAGGCAGGAGAATGGCTTGAACATGGGAGGCGGAGCTTGCAGTGAGCCGAGATCGCACCACTGCACTCCAGCCTGGGGTGCAAGACTCCGTTTCAAAAACAAAACAAAACAAAACAAAACAACAACAACAAAAAAACTTTACTCTTTGGTGGTCTTCTACAGCTCATTAGTTTATCCCAATTGTTTGAAATTTTGATGCCATTGTAATTATTTATTTTAGAGTTTCATTTTCTTATTGTTTGCTGGGGGTATGTACACATAAATGATTGTTGTATATTGGCCTTACAGCAAAGATGAATATTAAGTAGATTATTGATTCTAAAACATTAACTTTGGGTTTTTTAAATGTATAAAACCATACCATCTTCAGGCCAGGCATGGTGGTTCATACCTGTAATCCCAGCACTTTGGGACGCCAAGGTGGAAGGATCTCTTGAGCCCAGGAGTTCAAGACCAGCCTAGGCAACATAGAAAAATCTCATCTCTACAAAGAGTTAAAAATTAGCTGGGTGTGGTGGCATGAGCCTACAGTTCCAACCACTTGGGAGGTTGAGGTAAGATCATCACTTGAGCCTAGGAGGTTGAGGCTGCAGTGAGCCATGATCACACCACTGTATTCCAGCCTAGGCTACAGAGTAAGACCTTTTTACAAAAACAAACCAAAACAAAAAGATGTCATCTTTAAATAATGCTTTTTCTTTGTTTTTAAGAATTTGGCTAGGTGCGGTGGCTCACGCCTGTAATCCCAGCACATTGGGAGGCCAAGGCGGGTAGATCACCTGAGGTCAGGAGTTCGAGACCAGCCTGGCCAACATGGTGAAACCCCGTCTCTACTAAAGATACAAACATTAGCCAGGCGTGGTGGCAGGCGCCTGTAATCCCAGCTACTGGGGAGGCTGAGGCAGTAGAATCGCTTGAACCCGGGAAGCAGAGGTTGTAGTGAGCTGAGATTGCACCATTGCACTCCAGCCTGGGGAACAAGAGCGAGACTTCATCTCAAAAAAAAAGAAAAAAAAGAATTATATATATTTTTTCTCTATATTAAATGACTGGCCTGGCTATACTTTCTAAGTAAAATGATAAATAAAACTAGTTATATCAGGTGTCTTTGTCTTATTCTTGGCCTTAGTGGAAAAGCTTTTAATATTTCATTAAAAAGCAAATTATTTCACAAAACATTATTTGTACATATTTTAAAGCAAATTAATACTTTCCCTGGATTCCTCTTTTGCTGTGTTTTTATTATGAATGGATGTGAATTTTATTATAACATTTCTCTGCATCTGTGAGATTAAAGTGATGAACTTTTAATATGATAAATTATATTGAGATATATATATATTTTCTTTTTTTGAAATTTTATTAAGAAATATTGGCTGGATGTGGTGGCACATGCCTGTAATTTCAGCAGTTCAGGAGGCCAAGGTGGATGGATTGCTTGAGCCTAGGAGTTTGAGACAAGCCTGAACAACATGACAAAAACCTGTTTCTACAAAAAATACAAAGAAATTTGCCAGGCATGGTGGCTCATGCTACTTTGGAGGCTGAGGTAGGAGGATCACCTGAGCCAGGGGAGGTAGAGGCTGATTGTTTCACTGCACTCCAGCCTGGGTGACAGAGTGAGATCCTGTCTCAGAAAAAAAGATAAGGAATTTTTTTAATTAAAAAAAATAATATTTTTAAACATACAGACTATGAATATTTTTAACGCACCACCTACATTCAACAGTTAATATTTTACGAAATATTTAGTGATGTAACTATTCATCTTGTCACCACTGTAGCCACTCATCAATCTACCTTGTCATTCATTTTAAAATAAGTTAAAGACATCACTACATTTCTCCCCAAGTATTTCAGCATGCTTATGATTAAATTTAGCTCAATAATTTTTTAGTAATTCATTTTATTTTCACTTAAGGACAATGCTATGTGTGATGAAATGCACAAATCCATTGGAATGAAATGATCATTTTATTGTATGGTAATACCAAAATGTATTTGTATTAGTTTTCTATTATTTTGTTAGAAAATCTCACAAACATAGAAGTTTAAAAAACAAAAAAAGATCTATTATATCAAATTTTCTGGAGGTGAGAAGTCCAGGTAGGTATTGGCCAGTTTCTCTCCTCAGGGTTTCAAAAAGCTGAAATCAATGTTCCAGTCAAAGCTTAGTATCATCCTCTTCAGATCAGATTAAGGTGCTCTTCCAAGCTCAGAGTTTTGTATTTGTTTAAATGCACAGTAATTAAAAGTTTTTTTTTTTTTTTAAGCAGCAAAAGCAGTTAAAGTAAATAAAAATATTTTAGCCTAAAATATATTTATTTCACATATTCTGAAGTGGCCCTGCCATGTTGTTTTTCATGGGGGAAATTTGCATCTGTAGATCTGTTGATTCATTAATGCAGTCAATGCTTCCCTTGTCCAGATCTAGGAAAGATTAAATGAGAATCTAACACCTTTATAGGTCTGAAAAGAAATATTTACCACCTATTTTCTCTGAAACCTGCTACCTGTGAGGTTTCATCTACATAACAAGATTGGTTTTGCTAGTCAAGCCTCTTCCTTTCTCCTTCCAATAACCTGTCTTGGCACTAAAACCTGTTTTTGGCCATGCTGTATGCCCATATTCTTTCTGTAACCTCAAGATGGTATATAAGCCTCTGTACCCTATTAGAGGGTTGGGTCTTCATTCTGAAGACTCCCATATAGTAGACTCATTATTACACATAAACGTGTATGTGTTTTCTCTGATTAATCAACCTGCCTCATGTCAGTGATTTTCAGTGAACATTTAGGAGGCCACAGTATATAAACTGCAGAAAAATTTTACTACGACTGAAAAAAATGTATCATTCAATTAGTTATAATCTGTCAATCGAGAAAAATGATGAGACTGAAACCAGCCTCATTGTCTGAGGTGTCACCCGAAGTTGTTGATGTCACGGCCAACGAAATCAAGGACTCGGATACTCCAAAGGTGAGGTTAGAGCAGTAGTTAAATAAGTGAAAGAAGGAAAGCTCTCTAGAGCAGAGAGGGTTCCCAGAAAGATGGGTTGCCGTATTACAGTGAAATGCGAGGGTTTTTATAGAAAAGCTGGAGGGGAGCCATGCTTCATTTGGTTGAGGCGCAAATTTCTGAGTTCCCGCCCCACCCTTTCTAGTGCACATGCGGGCTTCTTAGTTTGAGTTACTCCATGTTGTTTATCGCTTCCTGCTGCACATGTGTAAAAAGGCAGAGAACAGAACCCTCTAAGGTGGACGTGCCTGGTTCAGAGTAGCTCTTATCAGTGCTGCGTCAGGCGCTCCCCCTGCACAAGCCTGCCTGTCTGAGTATTTCCAAGAAGGGAGGACTGTGTTACCTGGGACCCACTGTATCTTTGTATGTCACACAGGAGGCCCCTTTCTGTGTTAGAGCTTGCCTTCGTTATCTGCGTTTGCCGCCTTATCGCTTAGGCTGCTCTTTCATGAAGGAGAAATGACCTCTTGGGCTGCTCTTTGTCAGAAGACACTCTGCTTTTTGTTAGAAGGGAATTCCACCGGGGACCCTTGCCCTAACTATCTAGTTGATTTCTCTCTCTCTCCTCTCACAAGACAACTATCAATCATTTTACAGTTTCTTTGTCAAAGTTAAGGACACGTGCCCAGGAGACAAGTCTATGCCTTTCCCTGAAGACAATTTTGAGGGATCCAAATTTAAAGGGGAAAGGGCGGGATATTAAGAAAGAAACAATTTTCACGTAAGGTGGTGGGGGCGGGGAGTAGAAAAAATAGTAATTCATGCCTTTGTCTGGCTCAGTTAATCTGCATTTTTTTTTTTTATGTAAGATGACATAGATAAATGGGGCAGAGGAAAAATGCACGGAATCTGCATTTTTACATACGATAACATACACAAAATGTTGCAGGGGAATAATCAGATACATATTTGTGTCAGGTGGAGGCGGGGGTGAATTCAACTGTAAAGATAAGCTATTAATTTACATTGCCATGGTGAAATTTCAACAGAAACACCTTAAAGATCTGGGAGCTCACTAAGAATTTCCTTGTGGGCAAAAATATGGGGGAGGCACGTAGCTTTTCATCTTGTAGCCGTCTTATTTAGGAACCAAAAGAGGTAGGCAGGTTTGTGTGACCCAGTTTCCAGCTTAACTTTTCCTTCTGGTTTAATGAGTTTGGGGTCCCAAGATTTATTTTCTTTTCATAAATCCATGCATGAATTTTTAAAAATACAGACATTTCCATTGTACCAGTAAGTTTTCTTGTTCCTTCCTAGTGAAGTTCCAACCTCATCCACATAGAAACTTTTTTTTTCATTTTACTCCTTGACCACTGTAAACATGTTTATTTTAAAGTTGCATTTTGTGACTGAAACCAGCCACATAGCGTTCACAAGAATTGCCTGCTAGGTTCTGTTCAGAAATAAAGTTATAATTAAGCTTTAGTTGGGCTACATTTTGACTCACTTTCTTGTTGCTAGAAGTCTCACCATTTGCATTCCCATTGTTCCTATAGACAGGATCTCTGACATTAGAATCACAAGGCTTTTTTTTTTTAAGGATCACTTAATATGTTTTTTCAGATCCTGGATTCCAGCAACTAGTTTAAAGACCTCCACAGAGGAATGAGATCAGCATGAAAATGCAACTTTATCTCCCTGTACCATCACTTCACTCTGCACTCATTGACCAATCAATAATCTCCACACTTTGGACTACTCCAAAATTCTTAAGAATCTTAACTTCAAATTCCTGGAGAAGATAGGTTTGATGTTTTCTCCCATCTCCTTTTCCAGTGACTTTATGATCAAACCTCTTTATCTGCTGCAGCCTAGTGTCTCAGCATATTGAGTTCAGAACTTACTATAGTTACAGAACATACATAGACCCCGTAGGAATTTGCATAATCGATATACTTCTGGGTTTTGTTCATTTTGCTTCTCTTCTCAAATGCCTATTTTAGATTGTGTTTTAACAATTTTATTTTGAAAATTGTTTGTAGAACTATTTTGAGGTTCAGAATTGTCATATGTTACCAATGAGTGTTTAAATTCTCTTCTGCACTTCGTATTACTGTGGTATTACTAGCATTCTGCACTTGGTATCACGAGCCCTCCAGGAATTTTTTTGTTGTTTGTTTGTTTTTGTTTTTGTTTTGTTTTTGTTTGTTTGAGACAGAGACTTGCTCTGTTGCCTAGGCTGGAGTGCAGTGGCATGATCTCGGCTAACTACAACCTCTGCCTCCCAGGGTCAAGGGATACTCATGCCTCAGCCTCTCAAGTAGCTGAGATTACAAATGTGCACCACTATGCCCAGCGAATATTCGTATTTTTAGTAGAGACGGGGTTTCACCATGTTGACCAGGCTCGAACTCCTGACCTCGAGTGATCTACCCGCCTCGGCCTTCCAAAGTGATGGGATTACAGGTGTGAGCCACTGGGCCAGGCCAAGGAATATTTAATACCAAATCAATGTTCCAGGTGATCAAAAGCTCAGTTTAGTTTCTCATTTTGCTCAAATTTTTGTGAAGATTGACAAACTAGATCATGGTGTTATTGACCATGGGTTCTTGGGTTCTCAATGCAATATAAATTGACATAAGGCCAAAAGAGTTTTCCCAGATAAAGCTTTATTGGAGCTTGTATTAGTCAGGGTTTTCCAGAGGGATGAAGCTAATAAGATATATACATATTATAAATTATATATTATATAAATATTTGTACATTCTTATATTATATATATTTATATATAAATATATATATAAAAATATATTTATATATAAATATATAATAAAAAATGTATACATATATACAGTTATATATATAAATATACATATATAAATATATGTATATAAATATATAAATATATGTATATAAATATATAAATATATGTATAACAATATATATAAATGTATGTATATCTATATATAAATATATGTATATCTATATATAAATATATATGTACATCAATATATATAAATATATATGTACATCAATATATATAAATATATATGTACATCAATATATATAAATATATATGTACATCAATATATATAAATATATGTATATAAATATATATACATATATAAATACACAAAAATATACATATATGTATATTTTTATACATAATATATAAAATATATTTCATATGGTATATTTTATATATAATATATGTTATATTTTATATATTATATATTTTATTTTGTAATATATATTATATATTTTATTTTATACATAATATGTATCATGTATTTTATTTTATATATAATATATAATGTATTTTATTTTATATTTATATACATTTATATATTATATACAAAATATATATATTATTTTGTATACATATAGCGTGTATATATTATATACAAAATATATAATATATATTTTGTATATAATTTATATATAAATATATATTATATTATCTATAAAAACTATATAGAATATTATATAAATATGATATAAAATTATATAAATGTTATATATTTATATAAATATATATAAAAGTGTAGGACTTTGCCTTGTGAGTGTGTGAGCCAAGTCTCCCTAATTATATATTTATGAAAGGAAGTTTATTAGGGAGACTTGGCTCACACACTCACAAGGCAAAGTTCTACAATAGGCTGTCTGCAAGCTAAGGAAGATAGCAGCCAGCAGTGGCTCAGTACAAGTCTGAAATCCTCAAAAGCAGGGAAGTCGACAGTGCAACCTTCGGTCTCTGGCCAAAGGCTTGAGAGCCACTGGCAAACCACTGGTGTAAGTCCAAGAGTCCAAAGGCCAAAGATATCCAAGACGTCTGATATCCAAGGGCAGGAGGAGTGGAAGGGATATCCAGCAATGGAGAAAGAGTCTCAGGAAGCAAGTTTATCCCATCTACCAACTGCTTTGTTTTTGCTGCCCTGGTAACAGATTGGATGGTGGCCACCCAAATTGAGGGTGGGTCTTCCTCCCTCAGTTCACTGACTCAAATGTCAATCTCCTCTGGCAACATTCTCATAGACACACCCATAAATAATACTTTATCAGCCATCTAGCCATCCTTTAACACAATCAAGTTGACACCTAATATTAACCATTACAGAGCTTATGCCCAGGCAAAAGTGAGGCAGCATAAGAGAGAGAGAATTATCTGGCTGACTCCTCAGAGGGATTTGGAAAGAAAGTTTTAAAGGGGCTACAGTGGGAAAGGAGTGATATTTAGGCATATAGATGTGGGGAATTTTTAACACCTGCAGTTTGTTAGCATGCTTCTTCATGTATTGCATGTCTTATTAGCATGTTAAATCTCTAACCTTGGGTGTGATTTTTAATTAAGGTAAGGTTAAGGATTAGTTATTTTACTGGCCTTATGCACAAGCAGGAAATAGAGTTAACTTCTGTTGCAGGAATCGGGAGACTGGATAGACCAATGGGTGGAACAGGAGGATTTTATTAGGTGGCCACTGACTCAGCAGATTAACATCCAAAGGCGAGCCCCAGATAAAGACAGGGCTTGACTTTTATACACACTTCTGAAAGGGGGTTGGCTAGTTTGAATGGTGCAGCGGGAATTTGAAAGCACAAAACCTGTGTGGCAGGCAAGCGGGCTTACAGAAGCAAAACAAAGGCAGTTAATTAAGTTGTGACAGGTCTTGCAACCCAAGCACAGCTTGTGACCTTGCAGCTGCACTGCAGGGAAAACAGGAACTTACAAAACTTGTAAAACACTGGTGTTTTTAGAAATAGTTGTGAGAAAGGAATTTGTTATTTTCTTTTCTTATCCTCGCTCCGGGGAGGGGGTGTTGTTCAGAGTGTCTCTGGAGCTCATTCCTTTGGGCTCTGGCTTTACAGATAGTGTTATCAAGGCTCTGCCAGGGCCCTGCCTATTGCTGGCCTTGGAGGGAGTCAGCCAAGCACAGGAAAACTTGTTTTTTCCCTTTTTAACTTCTGCTTCACTTCCTTGAGTAAAATGTATGGTGAGAGCTGCACATTGTAGTTTCCTCAAGGCCTTGCAATCAGTGAGTATGGCACTTTAAGCAATATTGATGACGCAAATGTTCCTGGATCCGTGAGGTCTGGCTGCTTGTTCTCATAGTCTAATAACGGGATGCAGACAGATTGGGAAAGAAGATTTATTTCTGCAACTGGTTACAGGGAGAAGGTCGGAGTAACTGACCAGACCAACTCACAGTTGCAATTTATTTTAGCTTATATATATAATTGAAGCTTTTTGCTTGCCTGCAGGAGTGTTTCTTAATCAATCTAATCTTAACTAGGGGTCTGCAAGTAGGAAAGTTTATTAGATTTCTTCCTGAATGGACGAGTTTAAGAAAATCCAGGTAGGATTTTAATGAGTTTGTTTTACATTCTACCCCTTGTACTTGCATTAGTTGCTCCAGTTCTTTAATGTTTAACTTATATATTCATCAGAATTACAGTAAAGTATTAGTAAAAACTGGCTGCTGTGTCTGCTAATGGAAATCTGGCGTGGCACACAAGGTCCGGGTGGTCTGGTTGGGATCCCTGCTTCCCAAAGGGCCCCCCTATCAGCTTTCAGTAGAAGTCCTTGGTGGGGCACAGGGGTGGCGAGTGCCAAGTTCCATAGCTAATCTCTCTCAATGGAAAGAATTAACAGAAATGTTTTACTGCCCCTTGCTCTGCTATGTATGTCTGTGTATATGAGTATGCATTGGAAAGCAATATGTTTCAGGAAAGTAGAGTGGAAATTACAAGGTACAGATTCTATTGCTGCATCTACCAGTGTGCTATGTGATCTTGAGCAATCATTTATTCCTTCTGACTTAGTAATAAGCCGTTAGCAAAATAGCCATGATAATTACCTTCAGTTCCTACCTGAATTATTATGACAATTAAATGTACTAACCGATATAAATATATTTGCTAATTTGTCACATTTG
The DNA here is from genome assembly GCF_000001405.40 of Homo sapiens. Taxonomy (NCBI): domain Eukaryota; kingdom Metazoa; phylum Chordata; class Mammalia; order Primates; family Hominidae; genus Homo; species Homo sapiens. Next base: position 90,459,567 of record NC_000023.11, read on the forward strand.
TTACATTATTAGTAAAATGTGTAGTGTATACGCATTTTTATATTTTTTAAAGAAATAACTGGTTAAAGAAACAAAAAGTGATTAAATTGATAGCAATTTTTAGTATTTTATATTACTTTAATGTTTATTGACTAAGGCTACTTTTATATCAAAATAATATTTTTTAATATCAAGTATAAACTAGTTTTAAGTGCAGTGTGTCTATCCAAAAAGTCATTGCAATACACAGCATATCAAATTAAATTATTTTAAGCAATCTTCACAGAAAAATCTCTGTTTTCTCTCATCTCTCTGCCACCTTTAACTGCAAATTTGAAATACTCATTAATACAGCAAAGTGTTTAAGAGCAGGGACTCTCAAGTTTAAATCTTAGATCTGCAATTTACTAATCATGCAGCCTTTAGCAATTTTTATACCTTATATTTATTGCTAATTTTAAAAATGAGTATAATAATAGTATCAACCTCACTGGATTATTGTGAATATTAATTTATAAATTTTAAAGAAAGCGTTTATAATTTTGCCTAGAACATATTGATAGCTCCATAAATGTTAACTATTTTACCATCACACTTTACCTTGCCTAAAATTCCTTTCTATGGTCAAGTAAAACCCTTCAAAAATATTAAATTCTATTTATCCTCAATTTCCAACATTTTGCTGTTCATAATGCTTCATTGAAATGCTAAGGAACATTCAATAGACTAGTACAATCTTTTACACTCACAATTCTTTCATCCTTTGTCATGCTCGAGAAAAAACATGTAACTCAACAGGAAAGTGGTCTAAAGATCCTAAGGTAAAGAATAAATAAAAACCAAAGGCTGTGAGTAACTCTAGCATCTACCACTAAAAGAAGATGCTTTTAACATTTGGTCACAAGAAAAACTTGTCTTCTACAGTAATAAATTTGAAGAAGAAAGCATGATGCTATATTTACTACTGATAACCATTTTTGACCATATGAGGAACCAACCTTGGGGAAGATGGAAAGTGAATTGTCTCTGGAGCTGGGCTTTGTGGGTTTGATTACTATGCTGCTGTGTGACTTTGGCAGATTATATAGCTTCTCTGAACTTCAGTAGTTTTTGGTATACAATGTAAGGATAATAATGGTAGTTACATTGCAGTGAAAAAGAACAACATGTGTAAATAAATGTAATTTAGTAAAGTGCCCAACTCGTACTAAATACTAGTTACTATTAACATTATTATTAGAATAAAGCCAATTCTATAGAAAGTAGTGGAGAAACAGAAAGAACCTGAGTTCTAGATGACAATATCAAATCACTGACTCAATTAAATTGAAAACTACACACCGTCTGTACTCCTTGTCATGTGATATAGTAAATTACTTTATTCTTCAAGTTAATTGAAGTGAAGGGTTTTACAAATCACAGCTGACAGGTATGTGTGTGTATACAGATATATATCCCTTTTAAATTTAAATGAGAATGTTTAAAAATATGTTTCACATCTTTTTTATCTTTTTAACATAATAATGTATCTTTAATTTCTTTTTGATCATTACAGCTATATTTACCCCATTCTCTTTAACAGTCACATACCATTCCATTGTATGGTAATACCAAAATGTATATGTATTAGTTTTCTATTGTGTAAAAAAATCTCAGAAATTCAGCAGCTTAAAACAACACACATTTATTGTCTTAAATTTTCTGTAGATCAGAATTTCAGATACGGATTAGTCAATTCTTTCCCACAAGCCCTAAAAAAAAGCTAAAATCAAGGTACCAGTCAAGTCTGCGATCTCACCTGGAACTTGAGATTCTCTTCCAAGCTTGGAGTTTTGTGTTTTTTTGTTAAGATGGCAGTCATTTTGGTATTTTTAAAAAAGTAACAAAAGCAGTATATAAACTATAGAAAAATCTATATACAGTTGGAAACACTTTTTGAAGTAAGAAAAGTAAAACATTATATTCCCACAACCCAGAGATCACAAATAATAATACTTTAGTGGGTATCTGCTTATCTATTGACATATATATTTCCTTTTATACATATCTATGCATTTTTAATCAAAATGTAATCACACTGTTTATATCGCTTTGTAACATGCTACAATATTTCCCCCCTCGTTAACACTCTCTGTCTTCCCAAAGCAATAAAATGTAATCTCCTCTGGTACCCATTCTTGCTTCAAATCCTTAGTCCACTCAAAAATGAACCTCCATATGTGTTTAGCTATTTGGAAGCTCTCCATACCTCATTCTTTTAGGCCTTTATGGGGACTTCATTGGAAAGGCATGATTAAAGCATAAACAACTGTGTAGAAATGTGATTGGACAAAAAGGGTATAATCTAATACTAACAGGCTGAGTGGGAAAAAGTCACAAGATCTGTCTATTCTGATCCCTCTTGTCCTCTCTGTGCATCGTTTTTTCATCTAGGGTTTGAGACAAGACCTCTTCTGAAATGAGAGTCATATGACTTACAATTAGACAAGGTGGGTTGGAGAATTTCTTTATGCCCACCTCCAAGACAGAAAGGCAGAGGAAAATTTCTGCCTTGGGAAGAAAAAGTAGCAGATGAAAAAAGGGCAGGATAAGAACAAAAAGAAAGAGATTCTGTTTTCTGAGGCCTGCTTGTGAGGGCTAAAGCAATACAACAATTATAGCAGGGGCTATGGGAGTTATGAGCTACAAACCATGGATTAAAACAAATATACATATGTCATAATATCCCAGTCGCCTTTTATGTCTCATTTTTACCCCATAACATCATGTTTCAAGGTTTGTCTGAGTTGTAGATGTATCTGCACCTAACTCCTTTTAATGACTGAATGCATTTCATTAAATGTCATATTTTGTTTATTCATTCATCTATGGAAATTTGTGTTTTCTCCATTTTTTGAATATTGTGAATAATGCTGCTATAAACATTAATGTATGAGTTTTGTTGTAGACATATGTTTGCAATTCTCTTAGATATATAACAAAAAGTAAAATTGCTGTGTCATATGGTAACCATATGCAAAACCTTTTGAGAAACTGAAACCCTGTATTTCCCTACACAGTGGCTTTCCCATTTTATCTTGCCATCAACAATTTATGAGTGCCCTCCTATACATCCTTGCCAGTGCTTGTCATTTATCTTTCTATTATTATTTTTGTTATTGTTATTATTATTGCCATCTAGTATGTGTAAAGTAGATTCTGATAATGGTTTTGATTTGCATTTTCCTGATGACTAACAATGTTGAGAATATTTCATGTGTTTATTTGACATTTTTATATCTTCTTGGAAAAGTGTCATTTAAATTATGTGTCTGCTTTTATTGTGTTATTTCTCTTTTTTATTTTTAAAAAGTATTCATATATTCTGGATACAGGTTCCTTGTCAGATCTATGATTTCCAAATATTTTCTCCCATTCTGTGATTAGTTTTTGTTTTTGGGTTTTGGGTTTCTTTTACTTTATTGACAGTATCCTTAGAAACATAAAAGGCTTTATTGGCCGGGCGCAGTGGCTCACGCCTGTAATTCCAGCACTTTGGGAGGCTGAGGCAGGTGGATCACGAGGTCAGGAGATTGAGACCATCCTGGCTAACACAGTGAAACCCCGTCTCTACTAAAAATACAAAAAAAAAAATTAGCCGGGCGTGGTGGCAGGCGCCTATAGTCCCAGCTACTCTGGAGGCTGAGGCAGGAGAATGGCGTGAATCCCGGAGGCAGAGCTTGCAGTGAGCCAGCATCGCGCCACTGCACTCCATCCTGGGTGACAAAGCGAGACTCCGTCTCAAAAAAAAAAAAAAAAAAAGGCTTTATTTTAATGAAGTTCAAGTTATCTATTTATTGTTTTATTATTTGTATGTTTAGTATCGTATCTAAGAAAATTTTGCCAAATGAAAGATCATAAAGGGTTACATACATGTTTCATAGTTTTATTTCTTACATTTCTTGCTTTGACCTATTTTGAGGTAAAATTTTATATGCTGAAAGAGTCCAACATCAATTGTTCAAAATAGTAATCGAATTGTGTTTACACACTTTTTAAAAATCAATTGACTATAGCAATCTAGATTTATTTCTGAAATCTCAATTTTATTCAATTTATATGTATGCATGTTCTTGTCCCAGCACCTCACTGCCTTTACTTCTGTATCTTTGAAGTAAGTTTTGATATTGAAAACGTGAGTACTTCAAATTTGTTGTTCTGATGTAAAATGGTTTGGACTAGTTGAGTTCCTTAAATTTCTATATGAATTTTAGGGCTATCTTGTCAATTTGTGCAAAAATGCTATTAAAATTTTAATAGGCTTCAAATAGAATCTATAATTACCTTAGACAGTGTTTGCCATTTTAATAATATTAAATCTTCTAATCTATTAACACAATAATGTTTTTCTTTTTATTTAGCCTTTAAATTCTTTTCATGATATTTTGCAGTTTTTAATATAAGAGTTTTAAAGTTGTTTAATTAATTTTTTCTTAAGTATTTTATCTTTGTGATGTTATTGTTAATAAAATTGTTTTTGTAATTGTGTTTTCCAATTAATTGCTACAGTACAGAAATATGATTGATTTTTGAAGACTCTCAAAACTATTTATTAGCTCTAATAGTAGATTCTTTATAATTTTTCATTTATGAGATGTCATCTGAATAGAGACTGAGTTACTTCTGTCTTTCCAATCTAGATGCATATTATTTATTTCTTTTTTTCTTTGCCTAAATGATTCAACTAGAGCCTTAAATTAAAAAAAAAAAAAGAGTTGATATCCTTGTCTTTTTCTTCATCTTAAGGGTGAAAGCTTTTAGTCTTTTACCAGTAAGTATGATGTTGTTAACTATGGATTTTTCATAGATGCCCTTTATTGGATTGAGGAAGATCCTGTCTATTTCTACCTTCTTGTTTGCTTTTATAATGATGGGTGTTTAATTCTGTCAGAAATTTTCATATATATAGATATAATAATGTAATTTTTCCTTTTTTCTATTAATATGTTGTATTATTTTGACTAATTTTCTTATGATGAATCATAAGTGCAATCCTGGAATAAATCACCCTTACTTGTGTTTTATTGGTAGTGAAACCGTACGGGTCGGCAGCAACCTCAATTCTTGCCTCCTCAGAAGAAAGAATTCAACTGAGAGGCATAAGGCAGAAGGAGAGACTGAGGCAAGTTTTAGAGCAGGAGTGAAAGTTTAATAAAAAGTTCTAGAGAAGGAACAAAAGGAAGCAAAGTGCACTTGGAAGAGGGCCAAGTGGGTGACTTGAAGGACATATGCCCTGTTTGGCCTTGGACTTAGGGTTTTATATGCTGGCCTATTTTAGGAATCTTGTGTCCCTTTTCCCTGGATTCTTCCCTTGGGGCGGGCTGCCCACATGCACAGCGTGTTTATTGGAGTTGTACACATGTTCACTTGAGGCATTCTTCCCTTTGCTAGTGGAATGCCCCCAGAAGGTTATATACCAGTTAAACTCCACCATTTTGCCTCTTAATGTGCATGCTTGACCTCTCTCACCTAACTCCTGAGATCTTACTGGGAAGCTGTTGATTATAGTTACAGGTGTTTTTACCTATTGGGAAAATGCCTTTCCCTTCTGCTGGCTGCAACCAATTATTATTTTAGAGAGGCAGTTAACAACTGCCTGACCATCACCTAATGGTTACCTGACTTTGCTAGTGGGGTGTCTGGGGAGGCTCTCTCCTGTTCTGCTCATGCCTGACTAGCTATCTACTGTAATATGTGGTGTTCAGTCATTTTTATAGGCTGCTCAAATTGTTTTGCTAGCATATTGTTGAGGATTTTGTGTCTTTATTCATAAAGTATATTTTCTTATGACTTCCTGGTTTTGGTGTCAAGGAATGTAATACTAGCCACGTAGAATAATTCATCTCAAAATATTTTCTAGTTCTGTTGTATTTTCATTGACTCATTGGTTATTTGGTAGTGTGCTGTTTATTTTTCACAAATTGGTGAATTTACATTTTTCTTTTTTTAAAAAAAATCTACCTTTATTCCATTTTCAATGAAGAATACACTTCATATTATTTAAATCTGTATGCCTCTTGGAACATGTCTTCAACACTCAAGCAATGACAATTCTGCTTCAGTCTTTACTTCCTGTTTATGCAGAGCCTCAGGATCTATCAGAGTTGACAGCTTAAAGCCTTCTCAGGTCACTTCTGAGCATGTGTACTGACCTGGGTATTTATATAGCTTTCTATGTATGTGCCCTTCTAGCTTCCCAGAAATATGTCAGAACTTCCCAAAATACTTACAGACACCTTATTCTGCAACTTTTAATTTTAAGCTTTTGGTTAGTGTATTTGATTCAATTTTTATCTAGTACCTCAGGCGTCCATGAAATTAAACAATTGCCTGCAATAATTGTTAACAAATGCTCCCAGGAAGGAGACTGCTCAAGTTGGGCAAGCTCTAAGTTAGGTCAAATGCACACAATATTCTTAGTGAGGTCTTCCATGGAACTAAGACAGAGACCAACTAATGACCATCCTCTGGGAATGGGGTTTTGCAGAAGCTTCAGTGTCATTTTTATTTTTTGGTTTCTGCCTGGCTACTGGTCTTCATTGGAAATATGGGCTGTTAGTTTTCAGTTAAACTGCAGAGCTAGAGAGCAGGAGATTGGACCAAGGCAAGTTAAAACACCACAAAGATCAATATTATTAAATTTTTTTTGAATAAAACATCTGAGGATTTTTTTTTGTAATTTCTATCATTCTGAAAAACTTGGTTCTGACAATAGTTGCCAGTTTTCTATTTGTTTTTAAGAAGAAAAGACATTTTGGAGGTTCTTACCATTTCTACTGAGTTATTTTCATTGATTGTTGGAAAAATTTAATTTTCTGTACTCATATCACTAATATTTCCACTTTCTTTTTTCTTTCTTTTTCTTTTTTTTTTTTTTTTAGACAGTCTTGGTCTGTCACCCAGGCTAGAGTACAGTGGTATGATCTCAGGGGACTGCAACCTCCACCTCCCAGACTCAAGTGATCCTCCCACCTCATCCTCCCAAAGCGTTGAAATTACAGGAAAGATCCGTGGTGCCTTGCCTTCCATTGTTTTACTGGATACTAACCAGAAACAATTCTAGGGACCTAGCCACTTTTTGCCACATCATCCTCTCCACATCCTGGGCATTTGCACATTTAAGATAAACAAGAGTATCCCTCTTGTGCTTTGACACTCTTCTTTTTCAAAAAGACACAGTCCTTTTTAAGGGCTTGATTGATTAGGTGAGGCCCACCAGGATAATCTTTATTTTGATTAATTCCTACTCAACTAATTAGGAACCTAATAATAGGGTTGATATTTAATTGTATTCACAGATTTCATATGTATTCAAAAGGAAGGAATTATATAAAGGATCATGAAGTGAGAATGTAGTGGAAATGCACATTAGAATCCTGCTTACCCCAGTATTTAATAATAGTGATTAAAGTGTTTATATTATAATATATAATAAATAATAATTTATAGAAATTAATATATTATTTATTTACTTAATAAACATTCCTAGATGTGAAATGGCTGCATCAACAAAGATGTATATTCTAATTTGGGGAGATATTGCCAAAATGCTCTGAAAAGTGGTTTTTCTTGGTTAATTTCATGTTGTTAATACAGAATACCACATGCTTGATTATTTACAAATAAATTTATTTCACACAGTTCTGGAAGCTAAGTCTAATATCAAAGTGATTGCATCTGGTGAGGGCCTTCTTCCAAAGTCATCCCACAGCAGAAGTTGAGAGGGTGACAGAGGAAGAGAGACAGAAAGATTGAACTCACATCCTCAAGCCCTTTTATCATCAGCATTAATTTATTTATGAGAGTGCAGCCTTCATGGCCTAATTATCTCTCAAAGGTCTCACCTCTTAATATATTGTTGCATTGAAGATTAAATTAAAAAATGTTTTAATTAAAAAATTAAACCATAATTAAACCATAATTAAATAAAATTAAAGCATATAATGCTTGATCCAATTAATAATATTATCACAAATAATAATTGTAGCTCACCTTTATTGAGTGCTTATTTTGTGCCAGGCAGGTTCCTAATAGCTTTACATATTTTCTCATGCTTAATGTTTCAAATCTTAAAGTTTTAGTATGAGAGTAAGTGAGAATCTAATTTTAACTTTTGCATGTGATATGGTTAGGCTTTGTGTCCCCACCCAAATCTCATTTTGAATTATAATCCTGCCAAGACCAGCTCAGCCGTTGAGATCCTAACCCAGCGGTGCTAGAGGAATTAAAGACACACACAGAGAAATATAGAGTGTGGAGTGGGAATCAGGGGGCTGACAGCCTTCAGAGCTGAGAGCCACGAGCAGTTTCACCCACATATTTATTGACAGCAAGTGAGTGATAAGCATTGTTTCTATAGATTATAGATTAATTAAAATGGGAAACAAGGGGATGGGCTCTGGCTAGTTATCTGCAGCAGGAACATGTCCTTAAGGCACAGATCACTCATGCTATTGTTGGTGGTTCAGGAACAACCTTAGCAGTTTTCCACCCTGGGTGGGCCAGGTGTTCCTTGCCCTCATTCTGGTAAACCAACAACCTTCAGCGTGAACATCATAGCCATCATGAGCATGTCACAGTGCTGCAGAGATTTTGTTTATGGCCAGTTTTGGGGCCTGTCTATGGCCAGATTTGGGGGCCTGTTCCCAACATAATCCCCATAATCCCCATGTATCAAGGGAGAGACCAGGCAGAGGTAAATGAATCATGGGGGTGATTTCCCCCATGCTGTTCTCATGATAGTGAGTGAGTTCTCACAAGATTTGAGCTAATGGTTTTCTAAGTGTTTGGTAGTTTCTCCTGCATTCATTCTCCCTCTGGCCACATTTTGAAGAAAGTGTCTTGCTTCCCCTTCGCCTTCTGCCATGATTGTTAAGTTCCCTGAGGCTTCCTCAGCCATGTGGAACTGTGAGTCAATTAAACCTCTTTCCTTTATAAATTGCCCTGTCTCTGGCAGTTCTTTATAGCAGTGCGAGAACAGACTAACACAATATGTAATTCGTTTCTTTCTATTACTTTTCCTGTCAGTGACGTGTTCTTTCTTGAGAATAAACAATGAGAGGAAAGTTGACCTCATTTTTAATGAAAAGAAAAATTTTCTGCTCATTTTCTAGATAAAAGAACAAATTGTTATTGAATAAACAGAGAAAATATGATAAATCCTCCAAAATAGCATTGAAATTCATTTCTACCCACAGAAAGAAAAGCTCAAGAGCAATGCAATTTTATCATGTCATACAATATCAGGTGTGCTGCATGTCTACACAGAAAGTAGGACATAGCAATATTTGAAAGTGAATTTTTTTTTTAATTGAGATATAGTTTTGTTCTCGTTGCCCAGGCTGGAGTGCAATGGTGCAATCTTGGGTCACCACAACCTCTGCCTCCCAGGTTCAAGTGATTCTCCTGCCTCAGCCTCCCAAGTAGCTGAGATTACAGGCATGCACCACCACGCCCAGCTAATTTTGTATTTTTAGTAGAGACGGGGTTTCTCCATGTTGGTCAGGCTGGTCTTGAACTCCTGACCTCAGGTGATCCACCAGCCTTGGCCTCCCAAAATGTTGGGATTACAGGCATGAGCCACCACTCCTGGCCAAAAATTTTATTTTATTTAGAAATTAAGAAATGCCTTGAATAAATTTTTGTAGAGTATATTAAATATAGTTTTCTGCTCTAGATATATTTATCAAAGCTGTGCCAAGTGTTCCCAGATTGTGCTTATTTCCTTAAAATATTGACTTTCTACCATGGCGTAGAAAATATTTATTAAGTCAACAGCTTTATTATACTTGAAGTATTATTGTTTTGTACATCAAAATTATGTTTTTGTCAGTTCTAAGTAGGATTAATTTCATAAAGTGATTTAAATACTAAACCTCAGTGGGATTTATATATTATTCAAATAGAACTGACTTTAATTCTCGTGACTCTTTATATCTTTTAATATGTGTATTTTATTAGTTAAAAATCCATTACGTCATTAAGGTACAACAAAATAACAGCAGACATAAGATAGCTATTTAAAAAGTATTAAAGCTTTATAAGCTCATTGTATATTAAAGAAAGACGTATATTAAAAAAAAAAAAGCCATCTAGACTTCCCCTTCCAGCTCTAACATATAAAGAGCTTTTATGTGGTCACTCTTGACCTTAAAAACATACAAAAAAAGACAAACTGTAAGTAAACAACTTCACTTGGACCATCAGATAATTGAAGTCACAGGGAAAACTGCCATCTTGAAATCTGGAGAGATAGGGTAATACAGAGAATTACCCCTGAGAACAGCTTATTTGGAAAAAGAGTCACAGTATCCAAAATCTTTAGCAACACTTAATTTTCATGAGCTACTGGAGGATTAGTGTGGAAAAGCTTGAGAGTAAAATAAATCCTGTGATCCAGTATTACGGATGCCCACACACGTTTACAATTTCTACCTCCTGTAACCCCTTTAGGCTCTCATGGTGAAGAGCCAAGAAAAATCTGCTTGTGTTTCCAGTAGTTGAGAAAAAAAAAAGTATCCACTTTGAAATATGCCCAGAGTGTTCTCTATAACAAAGGCATAGTTCACAAGGGAAAAAACTTTATCAAAGACTTATCTAAACTGGTAGAAGGATAATTATCCATATTCAGGCCCCTCTAGCCTTCCTGTCCCACCACAGCCAAGGGGCACAAGCTCACTTAAAGACAGAGCTACAATCAAATATTAGAATGCTTTCTTTCCCCATTCCTTGCCATCACGGCAGCAGAGCTCTTGTGAATAAACAGTAAATTACAACTGAAAGAGCCACAAGACACTGACTCTATTTAAGAAGTTGTGTATGGGAAAACCTAAAAACAATAGGAGAGATAAAGACATGGACAGTAGAGAAAATTGAAGCCTTTGGAATCTACAGTTACAGCAAACATTAGAACACAGCATAACTCCTAGCCAGATTAACATTAAACATTACACTAAAAGCATAAATTATTTTTTATTATTTAGTATAACCTATCCAGCTTAAAAAAGTACAAATGACAGTAACAGGCAGGGAAATATACACTCTGAAGAGACAAAACAAACATTAAAACCAAATTTATATATGACACATACTTTGGAAGTATCAGATATGAAATTTAAAATAATCTTGATTAATATGTTAAAGAGCTATAATGGAACATGTGGACCACATGAGAGCACAGATGGAAAATATAACCTGAGAGATGGTCTCTAAGAAAGAATTAAAACAAAATATCTAATAAAACAAGACAAATAATGCCTTTGGCGGGCACATCATTACACTGACACTGCTGATAAAAGAATAAGTGAGGATAAAAATATGTCATTAGACATTCCCCAAACTGAAAAGCAAAAACAAAAGAAAATAAAAAATTTTAAAAAACACATCTGAAAATTGTGTTACAATTTCAAAATGTGTAACACAGTTATAAATAGAATATAAGAAGAGAAGATACTTTCCAAAATTAATGTCAGACACTAAACTATATAATTTAGTTAGCTTAGAGGACACCAAAAAAGGATAAATACAAAAAAATCTAGAGCTAGGCATACAGTCAAACTGCAGAAAATCAAAGGCCAAAAAAAAAAAAAATGCTTCAATGAAGAGAGAGAATAAAACATTTTAGTTATAGAGGTGTAAGCCTAAGAATTACATTGGGCTACTTACTAGAAACCCAGTAAGCAAGAAGAGAATGAAGGTTGAAATATTTAAAATATTGAAATAAAATAAAACTACCAATATAAAAGTTTATGTCATGCAAAACATTATATGTTGTGGTAAAAATGGCACTTTACCTCTGTTCACCTCCTCCCAAAAATTCGTAACTCCAGCTAATCATGAGAAAAGCATCAGTGAAATTACAATAGAGGGTCATCCTACAAAATATCTGATCAACAATTCTCAAGGCTGCCGAAAACAAACAAACATAAAATATGGCAAATTGTTACAGCCAAGAGGAGCCTAAGAAAACATGACAACTAAATGTAGTGTGGTGTTCTGGATGGAATCCTGAAAGAGGAAAAGACACTAGGTAGAAAGTAAAGAATTTTTTGTTTTTTTTTTTTGTGACGGAGTCTTGCTGTCGCCCAGGCTGGAGTGTGGTGGCGCCATCTCGGCTCACTGCAGGCTCCGCCCCCAGGGTTCACACCATTCTCCTGCCTCAGCCTCCCGAGTAGCTGGGACTACAGGCGCTTGCCACCTCGCCCGGCTAATTTTTTGTATTTTTAGTAGAGAGAGACGGGGTTTCACCGTGTTAGCCAGGATGGTCTGGATCTCCTGACCTCGTGATCCGCCCGCCTCGGCCTCCCAAAGTGCTGGGATTACAGGCGTGAGCCACTGCGCCTGGCCAGAAAGTAAAGAATTCTGTTTCTCATCTGGATGACAATGTTTGAAGCTTTGTGGATCCATTCCATGGTGAAGCAAGAATATCTTATGAAAATGATAACATAATATTTTAAAGTCTCTGAAAATTACCCTAAGGTATATAGAAAAGTGATGAAAGATTTGTTCAAAATAATCAACCATAATTCTAAGAACTGTAAATCATGTGTCATTTGAGCCATAACCAACTTTCTGTCATGACCTCAGCTCAGTTTGATGTAACCACCCCTCTGAGCAGGTATTGCTAAAAAGATGGGTCAAACTTCCTACCAAGTGTTGCCATTTCTGACCGAGTGGGGCAAAATGACAGTATTTATTATATTTAACTACAAGTTAAAGAGGTTAAATTCCAATTTATTTTATTTTATTTATTTATTTTTTTGGTGACCAAGAGGAAAAGGGCTCACTTCCTCCACCCAACCCATACCCACAGGACAAGCACTGTTTCTCAGGCACATCAGACTGATATTTGGACCCACAGTGCTCTAGACCCAAGTGTCTGGTTTGGGAAAGCTACCATGCTGTGAGAGGCAACCTAAAAGGACAAGGGACTACTCTCTTGCATAATTTCCAGAGAGTTTTCCCAGGACGAGAAGCAGTTGAATAACAAAAGAGAGGTTCAGACCTCTCCACAAAGTAACTGAATTTATATAAAACAGTGTGGAGAAGTTCAAATATAAGTATTCCCCAAAATAATAACTCCTCTTAATTATGCAACACAAGCTTAACCATAGCCAATACGTTCACCCGGGAGAAACAAAGTGAACTAGTTCATCAGATAGAAAGAGATAGCTAAGAAGAGCCCTTGTTGGAAAGAATGTGTCAAAGTTTGGCCTCAAACACTACCCCTGTCCAAATTTAAGTACAGCAGACTATGGAGCAATTTGTGCCATGACATTGTGAAAAATAATAGAGCAATAAGCCAGTAAATAGTAGAAACTAAAGGACAGAATATGAATATCAAATGTAGCAGATGCTTAACAGAGAGATTGAGACAGTAAAAAAGGGCCCTAAAAAAACACTGTCATTCTCAAATGACTGCACATCCATTTCCAAGTCTATATTCTCTGGGGAGTCACACCATAATTTTCACACGGTGAAGGAAATACACTTCACTAAAATAGCCTGTACAAGTCACAAAACAAACAGGCACCAGAGAGTGGGGAGAAAAATCAGTATCTAAAGTTGTTATAATGTATTCTGTAAAATTTTCAGTTTTCTACCAAAAATTAAGGGTCACATGAAAAAACATAAATATGTGACCAATATATACACAAAAATGCAGGCAAGAAAAACTGCCTGTGATAATGACCAGTGAGAAGTCATGTCTAACAAAGAACAAATTCAATGTAGCCATTATAATATGTCTAAAGAACTAAAGGAGATAATATTAAAGATGTATAGAGAAATATAAGGCTTTCAAAAGATAGGAAATATGTTTTTAAATGAACCTTCAGGAGTTAAAAATAACCAAAATGAAAAAAATGTATTGCAGGAGTTTAACAACAGATTTGAAATTGCAGAAACAAAATCAGATTACTTGAAGACAGATTAATATGGACTATGCAATCTGAAAAACAGAGAGTAAATAGAATACAGACAAATGAATAGAACCCCAGAGAATTGCAAGATACCTTTTAGCACACTAACATACACATACTAGAAATGTCAAAAGGAGAAGAGAAACAGAAAGATTAAAAAATATTCAACAGTGTATGGCTGAAAACTTTTAACATTTGCTGAAAAACATTAATCTACATATCCAAGAAGCTCAACAAAGTCCAAGTGGTATAAATGGAAAGAGATTCACACCAAGACACATTGAAATAAAAATAATGAAAAGCCACAGACAGAAAGTTATGAATGCTGCAAGAAAAAAAATTTAAAAATGACTCCCCATATCTTAGAGAAACCCAATTAAGTTAGCAGCTTTCTTTCCCTCGGGGAATGGTGATGAGTTATCAGTGGAATGACATTTTTACAGTACTAGGAAAGAAAATGCTGAGCAAGAATCTTGCATCCAGTAAAATTATCTTTGAAAATGAAAGAGGAATAAAAATACTCACAGACAAAATCTGAGAGGATTCATTGCTAGTACATTTACTTTATAAGAAATACTAAATGAAGTTCTTTAGGGTGAAAGTGAAACAATGGAAGGTCACTGGTCTTGTTGTCTAAGTTGTAATCTGAGCTCGTGGTCTCACAACCAGAAAATTAAGAACGTGGACCCAAAGGGTGAGGTTGGAGCAAAAGTTTAACGAGCGAAAGAAGAAAGCTCTCTGCAGCAGAGAGGGGTCCCAGACAGGTTGCTGTTTTACAGTTGAATCCAAAAGCTTTTATAAGAACCCCCTATCAGCTCTGTAGCCATTTGAGTAACTTCTCCTATCTATCAAATCTTCTTCACAACTCCCCCTTATCTATGTAGTTTTCGGTATGTCTCTAGACAAGCACAATGCACTACTTCTCTTGTTCGTGTAATTGTGGATTTGTTTTAGGTAAGCCCCCCTTCTCCCTGTGCAAGTTCCTACAAAGCACACCACGTATATGCATGAAAAGGGAAGCAAATATATATTTTTTTCTGGGAGCTCGCTAATCACACAAAGAACATAAGGGTTCTGTGCTGCTTATCTGTGCAGGTGCAGCCTGAGTTTTCCCCAAGCTGCTCTATTTTTGCCTCTAGCTTCGATTTTTCAGGCAGCCTGCTTCTCTGAGACCAGCCTTAACTGTTCACCTAACTGACCTTTTCTTCTCCCTCAAAAGAAAATAAGCATGGACATAAAAAATTATCAGCATTGTTAAAGGTAATTTTGTAATTACAAAAGACAATATATACATAGATTGTTTACTTCTATTCACTGGTTTAATTAGCAATTGCATAAAACAATATGTATATAATTATATATTTCGGCCTGTTAAATATAGAAATAGAATGTATTTGACAATGAGACCAGTAACCAATAGCATACAGATGGCAGGAGGAAGCAAAATTGTATTGGATTAAGAAAGTTAAACTACGTGCTACTTGAAACCTTATGCACAAATGAAATAAAAATTAATAATAAACAAAAAATTAATATTACAATGTCTGTAATTATACAATTACTTTGTTTTCTCAGCTTCTTTAATAAATATAAAATTATGTAAATAATGATTATAATAATGAATTTTTGTGTTTGTAAGTTATATGGATATAATGTGTGTAACAATAATAGCAAATAAAAGGGAATTAGATAGAGCTATATTATAGTAATATTTCTATATATCCATGGAATTAAGTTAGTTTAAATCTGAGGCAGGTTATGATAAATTAAGATGCATATAGTACACCCTAGAGCAACCATAAAGATAATGAAATAGAATTTAAAAAATTAAAAAAATTAAAGTAATTAACATGTTACATTAAAAAATATTTACTTTATACAAAATAAATAAATATGAAATACAGAAACAAAAAAAGACATGAAACATATACAATACAAAAAGTAGAATGAAAGATGTAAATTTGACTATAACAATAAGAAGAGTAAATGTGAATGGAGGAAACAATCCTGTCAAGTTGCATGGATTGTCAGACTAAATCTAAAAACAAGATACAACTATATACAATCTACAGGAGAAACATTTTAGATTCAGACATACAAACAGGTGAAAGTAAAAGAGAAACGAATGGTATATTATGCAAAGAGTAACCTTAAGAAAGTTGGAGTGAATATTACAATGTCAGATAAAAAAGTAAAACAGAAAGTGTGACATGTTATAATGATAAAAGGGTCAGTCCATTTGGAAGTTATAACAATAATCAACATTTAAGCACCCGACAACAGAATCCCAAAATACATGAAACAAAAGCTGATAGAATTGGGGGGAAATCAAGGCAATTTAATTATAATAGTTGGAGAATTTACTATCACCACTCTCAGTCATGGGAAGAAAAACTAGTCAGAAGATTAAAAATGAAATAGAAGTCTTGAATCATATACACAAACTAGACCTAACAGATTTCTGCAAAGAATTGTTTATAGACTCCAACAACAGCAGAATACAAATTCCTGGGGCATCAGAATATACATTTTTCCTAAGTGCAAATGGAGCATTCACTATAATAGAACACGTATCATCAAAACTTAAAAATATGGAAGAATTAAAACCATAAAAAGTATCATCTCTGGCTGGGTATGGTGGCTCACACCTGTAATCCCAGCACTTTGGGAGGCTGAGGCAGGTGGATCATGAGTTCAGGGGTTTGAGATCAGCCTGGCCAACATGGTGAAACCCTGTCTCTACTAAAAATACAAACATTTGCCAGATGTGGTGGCACGCACCGGTAGTCCCAGCTACTCAGGAGGCTGAGTCAGGAGAATCGCTTGAACCCAGGAGGCAGAGGTTGCAGTGAGCCTAGACTGTGCTATTGCACTCCAGCCTGGGTGACAGAGCAAGACTCCATCTCAGAAAAAAAAAAAAAAAATCTCTGGTCACAATGAAAAGAAGTTGCACATAAATAAGAGAAAAGAAATGGAAAATTATAATTAAGTAAAAGTATAAAACACATTACTAAATAATCAATGGCTCAAAAAAGAAATTATAAGGGAAATAAAAAATCTAGGATTTGATAGCACAACAAGATGACTACAGTCAAAAATAATTTATTGTACTTTTAAAATAACTAAAATAGTATAATTGGATTGTTTGTAACTCAAAGAAAGAAAAAATGCTTCAGGTGATGGATACCTCATTTACTTTGATGTGATTATTACACATTATATGTCTGTTTCAAAATATCTCATGTACCTCATAAATATATATATCCACTATGTACCCAAAGGATTAAAAATTTAAAAAAGTTAAAAAATACTTTGAGATAAATAAAAATAAAATACATACAAAAATGTATGGATGCAGCTACAGCAGTACATAGAGGAAAATTTATAACTGCAAAATACCTGTCTAAAAAGGAATAAAATTTTCAAATAAATGATTTAGCCATTCACTCTAAAACACTAGAAAAATAAGAGAAAAGTAAAACCAAAGTAAGCAAAAGAAAGGAAACAATAAGGAATAAAGTACAAATGAGTAAAATAGAAAATAAAAAAATAGGGAAATATTAATAAAACAAAAAGTTTATTCTTCTAAATGATCACTTGAACCAAAAAAATCTTCAGGTCAATTGACCAAGAACAAAAGAGAGTAGACTCAATTTACTAAAATAAGAAATGGGCCACAGGTGGTGGCTTATGCCTATAATCCCAGAAATTTGGTAGGCCAAGGTGGGAAGATTGCTTGAGGCCAGGAGTTTGTGGCCAGCCTGGGCAAGAGAGTGAGACCCCTTCTTCACAATAAATAAATAAATGAATAAATAAGTATTTAAAAATAAAATAGGAAATATGAAGTATTAATATTACTACTAGCCTTATATAAATAAAAGGAATTATAGAGTTACTATGAATAACTGTATGACAACAAACCAAATAATTTGATCAAATGAACACAATTTTAGAAAGATCCAAACTAGTAAACTCAAGACCTAAACAGAATATCAGAATATTCCAATCCATAGTACAAAGTTTGAATTAGTAACAAAAAAAACCTTATATATAAAAAAGTCCAGCCACACTTGTATTCGCTATTGAATTATACCAAAGATTTAAAGAAGTAATATTAATTCTTCACAATGTCTTTCAAACAAATAGAATAGTAGAGACTCTTTGCAACTGTTTTTATGAGGCCATTATTAACCTATTACCAAACCAGACAAAGACATCATAAATAAATAAAACTACATACTCATATTGCTTATAAAACCAGATGTAGGTATCATAAATAAATAAAACTACATACTCATATTGCTTATAAAACCAGATGTAGATATCCTCAACAAAATACTGGCAAATTGAGTTCATCAACATTTATAAAAGATGATACACCATTATCAAGTAGGATTTATCCCAGGAATAGATGGTTGACTTAATATCTCACAATTAATTTACACAATGTACCATATTAATACAATAAAAGAAAGCAAACACAAAATCACCTCAATAAAAACAGAAAAATCATTTAACAATATTTAACATCCGTTTGTAATAAAACCCCCAATAGCTAGGAAGAGAAAGAAACTTCCTGAACCCGATAAAAGATATATGAAAGGTTCACAGCTAGAATTATACTTAATGGTGAAAAACTAAATGATTTCCCCATAAGATCAAGAAAAGGTAAGAATAACAATATATTCTTTCATCACTTCTATTCATTATTGTACTGGAGGCTTAATCCATGACAATTGGGCAAGAAAATAAAATTTAAAATATCCAGTTTGAAGGAATGAGCTAGGAGAGTAAAAATAATGCAGCAGGAATTGCATCATGGGAATTTGTGCCATTTCCTCATGCAACTTGTTGGTGCCTTCAGGAAATTCATGAGCCCAATGTCCTATATGGTATTTCCATTTAAGGGAGTGCTGCTGTGCATGCCCAAATGTATGGCTTTGTGGATCAGACACTCAGGTAATAATGGGCAGCTTAGATCTCAGGATAATTTGGGGGCTCATATTTGAGCTTTAATCTGTACTTAAGCCTTGCAGCAAGCTGAAATCTTGTTCTTAAAAAGGGAAGAGTTATTGGCAGAGAAGGGCAAGACTTTGCTTCAAAATCCTAAAGGACTTCACTGTAATTCACCTATAGGGATCTGCCAAAGCCTCCAAACAGCATCTTTCTCTGCCTCTGATAATTAAAGCATAATTGAATATTTCAGATGGATCGTATGGCCTAAGTGACAAAACAGCTTGCACATCAACTGTTGCAGAGCTTTCTCTTGTTCTGGTCCCACTCAAAACTAGCAGCTTTTGAGTAGTACACCCAAATTAGAAATATGTTTTCTCTAAAATCAAAAGAGTCCCATTAGACATTATTACTCATTTTGGGTTTTAGGAGCGATTGAAGAAAACAATGTATTCTCCACCTTAGAAGGGATATCTCAACATGGCTCACACCATTGAACTCCTAAAAGTTTCTCCGACCTGAGATGTCATTGGATTTTTGTTGGATGTATTTTCCACTATCTACCACTCAAACGTTTAATGACAACTTTAGAGTGGCTACTAGGTCTTGTTTACTAGGTCCAATCAGCATGATGTCATCAATGTAATGGATCATTGTGATAGCTTATGAAAAGGTGATGTAAATCAAGGTCTGTTTTGACTAAATGATAGGGGTGCAGAGTTTCTATGCTCCTGAGGCAGAATAATAAAGGTTGCTTCACCAACTCAAACTGCTTTTGTAAGTCTTTTTTAATAGATATTGAGAAAAACTCATTTACCATATCAATATTCACATACCAGCTAGAAGAAATATGTTCATTTTCTCAAGCAATTAAACCACATCTGGAACAGTAAAGAGTTGAGTCACTATCTGGTTATGTTTATTATAATCTGCTTTCATTCTTCATGATCCATTTACTTTCTATCCAGGACAAATAGGAGAGTTGAATGAAGATATCATAAGAATCACCATGCCTGAATCTTTTAAGTCCTTGATGATGGGATTAATCTCTGCATTTACTTCAGGAATGCAGTACTGCTTCATGTTCACTATTGTCCTACATACAGACAGTTTTAATGACTTCTATTTGACATTTTCTTCCATAGTAGCCCTTACTCCACAGGTCAGAAAATCAATGTGGGCATTCTGTTAGGTACTAAGGATGTCTATTCCTATTGTTCATTTTGAGAAATAAACCATAGAATGGGTTTGGGCACCCACTATACCCACTGTGAGATGGACCTGGGCTAAAACCTCATTACTCACCTGACTCCACAAGCCCTTACTCTGACTGGTGGAGCACAGTGACAATTTGCATCTTGTGGAATTAGTGTGACTGTAGAGCCAGTGTCCAGTAGTCACCAAAAAGTCTGTTTACTTATTTTTTCCAATACACAATCACCCTAGTAAGAGGGTTATTTGGTTGGTCAGCTGAAACATAGACCAATAAGTTGGTAAATTACTAGAGCCCTTTCTAAGCCCTTGGGCTACAACATTGAGTATAGAATCTCTATTATGGGCTAATATTAATAAATTCAACCTGAACCAATTTTATATTCCTGCTGCAATTTTATAAATTTAATTGAATTTATAATTTATAAATTTATATTAATATGTAAAATTATATATAATTTAAAATTAATATAATTTAACCATTTATATAATACATAGATGTATCACTTAGTTTATAATTTAAAAATTATAATTTTGCAGATTTAATTTACAATATTATATTTCTACACCTTTAATATCTATTTCTATACAATTTCTTGAAATTTCTGTGTATTCATTGAAAAAAATCTTGCAGTTGTTTTGAAGTGTAGTGCTTCTCCTAGTGCTCCACACTTTGGACCTCACTCTTTAGGACCTGTTAGAACTTGAACATACTTCTAATTCCAGAAGAGACAAATAAAGGTGCTGTGTGTAGGTTTTGAATAAGTAAATATATATTTATTTATTTACTTGAAGTAATTATCCCACATGATTGTGGTGGCTCACAAGGGTAAAATCCACAGGGCAGGCCAACAGGTTGGAAACTCTTGGATTTTTTAGTCTTGAGGTACAACTTATTCTTCAGAGAAATCTCAGTTTTGCTTATAAGGTATTTCCACTGATTGGCTATCTACCCACATTATAGAGAAGAATATCCTTTACTTAAATTCAGGTGGTTGTGGATGATAACCATGTCTATAAAATTCATTCATAGCAATCCCCGGATTAGCATTTGATTGAAAAGCCTAGTTAAGTTGATATGTAAGACAAACCGTAAAAGCATACAAAAACTTTTACTCAAATGTTCAATGAAGCATTAATAATAGCCAAAAATTATAAACAACTTATTATCCACTAATGAATTAAGGTGTAAATAAAATGTGGTATATTCATACAATGGAAAATTATTCAAGCATAAAAATGAATGGACTGCTGATACATATTACAATAAGGATAAACCTTGACAACACTATACTAATTGAAAGAAAACAGTTGCAAAGGATCACCTATTGTATGGTAATATTTATATGTAATGTTCATAATAGCCAAACCTATGGAGACAGAAAGTAGATTAGTGATTGCTTAGGACTGGGGAGGATGGGAGAATTAATGAGTGTGGCTAAGAGGTAAGGGGTCTTTTTTGTGGGTAATAAAATGTTCATATTTTACAATTGTGGTGTTGTATACACAACACACTAAAAGCTATTGAATTTGACACTTTCAATAGGTAACTTTTATGGTAAATAAACATATCTCAATAAAGTTGTTAATAATGAAAGAACAGTGTGACACAGCTAACAAATATAAACTATTAAATTTAGTTAATAATAATGTATCAAAATTGGTTCATCTCTTGTAGAATATTCACAATACTAAAGGTGTTAATAATGGAAAGGACTCTGTAAAGTTAAGCAAGAATTCTTTGTACCATCTCAAATTTTCTGCAAATCTAAAGCTGTTCTAAAAATAAGGTAGATTAAAATAAATGCAACATTCAAATATAAATATAACTATGGATGACATGAGATACTGACAGACTAATTCATTGATTTTTTTTAAGATTGGAAAATAGTCTTATGGTTTAACTTTCACTTAAGAATTTCCCATGATAATTTAAAAAAAAAGCTTTTGGTTTTACCTAAGTTTCATTTAATGTCTGTCTCTTTTTTGTTGTTGGAATAGGTAGGGATATGTAAGTAAGAATTGACAGGGTAGAGAGCCAACAAGTAGGACTTTTCATTTATTTAAGGTTAAGAATCTCTGCAGATTTCTCAAGGTTGGAATCAGGTAATACTGGAGTCCTCCTAAAGTGAGCAAGTTAGATGAACAATAGGACAGGGAAGGTTTTAATCATGTTGAGCATCTGGGAGTCAGCAACAATGGAATAGCAGCTAGGAGGGCAAATCTAGCTCTCAGAGTCATTCCCATCAAGGGGCATCAAAATGTAAATAAATAAATAGCATAGATATGCCCTAATATACAGTAGTGGTTCAACCATATGGAAGATAATTTCAACATGGAGGTTTTAAATGGATCCCAAAGCAATGCAAATTCCAAGGCATATGATCAAGAAATTGAAAATTTTTTGAAAGAAAGAGCAAAGAAAGAAGATTTGGTTTCCAAGCTTATTCATAGGAAAAAAATCTAGGCATGAATTTTCTGCTTAAGTTTCAAGAGTGTTATAGAATTTATGTATACCAAGATTGAATTCCAACATAGTAAAGATAGTATCTGAAGAACAGCCCTAGAAGTTAGTCAAAGCCAAAATTTAATATCCAGTAAAGAAACAGAAGTTTGTGAAAAGTGAATACTAGCAATTGCTAAGATAACTCATTCATTTTTAGAACTTCGCCTTTAACTTCTTTGTAATCAATTCCCAAATCTAATTATACTTTAAACCACTCACTTGATGTTATATCTAACTGCTTATTGGGCATTTTTCTTTGACTGTTAAATGCTTTATCTATGTCTCTTGAGATAATTATATGGCTTCCCTTATTTAGTTCCTTATTGGTGAAATAAACTGAGTGCTTTTCAAATATTAAACCTTCACTAATATTATATTACTTCATGCATAGTACAAACAATTTATAAGTGTACTTCAATTTTTCCCCTCCTGACCCTACAATATATTGCTCCTATGTCTTCTTGCTTGTATTTTCTTTCTTGACCACAAATCTGTTGCTATCCCTATCTTTGTCCCTTTGTATGTAATGTGTTATTTTTTTGTTGTTGTTATGGCTGCCTTTAATCTTTTTAATTTATCGCTCTATTTTAGCAATTTGATTATGATGTAGCCTTCTGGCATTCATGAATCATGTGGTAGGAAAACTTTCAGGATGGTCCCCAATGATCCTGCCTCCTGGTGTTCATGTCTTTGTATAGTATTGACAATGAACTGAAGCTAGTAACTCATGTGTGAGAAATTGAATATGGCAACACTAATGGGATGTCAATTTTGAGATGAGGTTTCAAGAATACTGTGGTTTTTGCCTTTAGCACTTTTCTCTCTTATCATCTCACTCATTTACTCATTTGCTCTGAATGAAGTCAACTGCCATTGAAATGGGAGAGTTCCCGGTCCCCCCTCGCAGGATGTGTGACAGGGGTGTGGCTTGTCTCTTTGGCTGCCATGCACTCAAACCCCTTACATTAGTGGAAACACATGGATGGGCAAGTACAAAAACTGGGGCAAGCACTTTCGGGCTCAAGCCCCATGGTAGTGTCTAGGGATGGATGCCTGCCACTCTCAAAGCCCCAGTAGGCATGTTGCAGTACTCTTTTAGCTCTGCCTTCCACAGATGGCTTAAGTGTTCACCAGTTCAGTGCCCTCTTGGTACCCAGGTTCTTGTCCAGTGTCCAGGAAAAATCAGGTCACATGGACAAATTGAAGGATGGCAAATGCAGGGTATTTTATTGACAGATGGAGGTGGCTCTCAGCAGGATGGATAGGTAGCTGGAAAGGGGATGGAGTGAGATGATTTTCCCCTGAAGTTTGACCATCCCACAGCTGATCTCTCCAACTATCTCCAGCCGAACTTCTCTGGATGTTCAGATGTTCCTTCTCTTCTCTCTTTCTCTGCCATGCCATTCTGCCACTCTTCTGCTCATCTGCTCTTCTGCTCGTGGAACCTGGGGTTTGGGGTTTATATAGGTACAAGACAGGGGGGCATAGCAGGCCAAAAGGCAACATATGGGTGCAAAAATAGGAATGCCTGTTTCCATGTAGGGCCACGGCTTTCCAGGCTTGAGGGTGGGGCCTTTGCTGGGGAACTGCCCTCTTCTACCCAGTATTTTCCTGCTTCCTGTCCATATCACCAGGTTGTGGCCCTATGAAAAAACACATGGAGCTGATGTTTTAAGCCAGCAAGCAGCAGTGACCTGAGGCCTGCCAATAGCCATGTGAGTGAGCTTGTGAGAGGAACCATTCTCATTCAAACTTTGATATTACTGAATTCCCTGATGACACTTTCATTGCAACCTTATGAGAAACCCTGAGTCAGAGTCATCAAACTAAGCTACACCTGAAATTCTAATTCACAGAAACTGAGATAGTAAATGTTTTTTAATTTGCTATGCTTAGGAGTAATTTGTTATGCAGCAACACATAATTAAGTTACCTTGGCATAATGTAATAACTTCATGTTTCTTTTGCTTGATGTTAACTCCCTGAATTGGTAGTTTTAGAATTTTCTTTCAATTTGGAAAGTTTTCAGCCATTATATTTCAAATATTTTTTTCCTCTAATCCTTTTCTGCTCTTCTCTGAGAATTCCAATTACACATATATTAAGACACTTGAAATTACAGTACAGTTCACTGGTTCTCTGCTTTTTTTTTTTTAATCTCTGTTATATGCTGGAAAGTTTCTACTGCTATATCTTTAAGTTCATGGATCTCTTATACTGCAATGACTGATTTTCTGTTGTAGTAAATTCAGGCTGCTATAAAAAATACCATATACTAGGTGGCTTGTGAAGAAACAGAAATTTATTTCTCCCAGTTCTGAAGGCTGAGAATCTGAGATCAGAGCACCAGCATGGTCAGGTTCTGGTGAGGTTCCTCTTTTGGGTTGCAGGGAGCCACTTTCTTATAATATCCTCACATGATAGAGAGAGAGTGAGCTATCCCTTTGGCCTCTTGTTTTTAAGAACACTACTCCCATTTCTGAGGGCTCCATCCTCATGACCTAATTGCCTTCCAAAGTCTCCACCTTCAAATACCATCATACCGGGGATTAGATTTTAACATACGAATGTGAGTGGGGACACAAACATTCAGTCCTTAACAGCTGCTCATTCTATTAGGTATATATATATATATACGTATATATATATATATGTATATTATATATATATATGTATATATATATGTATATATATATGTATATTATATATATATACACACACACACATATATATACTGAATATATAATATGTATATATACATGCGTATATATTTTTATATATATTTTATATATATATGTATATATACATATATACATATATATATAAAATTTATTTTTTGAGACGGAGTCTCACTCAGTCACCCAGAGTGGAGTGCAGTGGCACGATATCGGCTCACTGCAACCTCCGCCTCCCGGGTTTAAACAATTCTCTGCCTCAGCCTCCTGAGTAGCTGAAATTACAGGCGCCCGCCACTACACTTGGCTAATTTTTGTATTTTGGGTAGAGACATTGCATTTCTTAATCTCAAAGGTTTGATTGGGGTCTTTTAAACATCTTCCATGTCTGTATAAAATAATTATAATTATTTTCTCTAATCTCATAATTCTAAAATCTGTGTCAAATCTGGGTCAGTTTCAATTGATTAATTTATCTCTTTAGAATGGGTTAAACTTTTTTGAGTCTTTGCATGCTTAAGAAATTTTTATTGGTTGATGTATACATTGTGAATTTTACATTATTCAGTGCTAAATATTTGTGAATTCTTAGAAGCATTTTTGAGCTTCATTCTAGAACACAGTCAACTTACTTGTAAGAGTTTGATCCTCTTGAGTCTTGTTTTTAAGGCATTTTAGGCAGGCTCAGAATAATGCTTAGCTTAAGGTTATTTCCCATGAATCATAAAAGATACGAATGAGTACTCATTCCAATTTTCCATGAATCAAAGACTTTTTTGTCTGTCTTGTGGAAACAGAAACTATTTTTGGTTCTGTGTGACCGCTGAGTACTAACCCCTCTGTTCATTTTTGGCAATTCTTTTTCCACCCTAAGGTGGTTGCCTTTATGAATGCCAGTTTTCAGCTGACTATTCAAGATGGACTCTTTGCAGATCCGTAGATTTTTTTTTCTTTTCAGTTTTCTCCTCTCCAGCACTCTGTCTGAAAAAAATTGAGATGCCTTAACCTTTGTGGATTCTATCTTCAACTCAGAAAGTCTGCTTTGCTCTTTCTGGGGTCTGGAAACCTTTGCAAAGCAGTAGCTGGTGCAATCAGAGTCTCATTTGTTTATTTATTCTATCTCAAAGATCACTGTCCTCTGTTGTCTGATGTACAGTGTTTTGTAAAACTGTTGTTTTATATATTTGTCAGTTTTTTGGCTGCTTCATGTATGAGGGTAATTCTGGTTTCTGTACCTCCATCTTGGTCAGAAGTGTAAATTAACACATGCCTAATTTTATTATATACATTTTTTATAATCTTACTTTCTTATTCAGGTTTATTGTTGACTAATTTGTGAGAGACTCTCTACAACATCTTTTATAGTCAGAATTCTTTTAATATTGTATATATGACTAAGTAGCTGATCATTAAAGTCCTTTGACAGGCACTCATTTAAGTTTCTTATATTTATTCCTTAGTAAACATCTATTGTGCGTCTACTGGGTGTAGGTGCTATAGAGATTATAGAAACACATTAAATTTACATCCTCTTTCAAAAAGCTTATATTCTCATAATCATTAAACAAAACACACTAGATATAAATAAGGCTTATTAGAGAGATATAAGAAATATGCAGAGTTACAAAAATTCAGAGCTACTTGTTTCTGTGCAAAACCTAAGGGGACTTTCTGCATCCCACAACATTATCATTTAAGATATGCATTTATTAACATATTTGAACAAAATTACTTCTACAAAAATGATAATTGCTTGTTGGTTTTTGTATAAAAAATGAATGTGCTTATTTCACATTTCATACCTATATCAAAACATCTCATGTACCCCATAAATATATACACCTACTATGTACCCAAAAATATTTTTAAAATTTTTTAAAAAGAAATGGGCCAAACTGTTAGTAATTACTCTATTCTTTTGGTGAATTAGGGTTCTTCAGAGAAACAAAACAGATAGGATATAGACAGATAGAGAGATAGACAGATAGATAGACAGACAGAGATAGATGAGAGAAGGTTTACCATGGGAATTGACTCACCTGTTTATGGAAGCTGAGAATACCCACTATATACCACCTGCAAGCTCAAGAACCAGCAAAGCTGTTAGCTAAGTCCAAGTTCAAAGGACTGAGAATTTGGGTGGCTGCTGGTGCAAAGTTTAGATGAGAAGATGGGTGACCCAGCTCCAGAAAAGATAGCAAATTCACATTTCTTCTGCCTTTTTGAAAATCTGAGCCCTGAATAGATTTGGTGCCTGCCCATATTGGATGAGTGCAGATTTTTCTTACCCAGTTTACTGACTATGATGTGAATCTTTCCCCATAACACCTTCACAGACATACCCAAAAATAATGCTTTACCAGTTATCTGTATTTCTCTTAACCAAGTCAGGTTGACACCTAATATTAACTACCACACATCCACTCCTCATCAACGTGGCACCCGTACACATCTCCTTAAACCATAATTAATCTCCAAATAAAGACAATAACAATCCCATAGTTGTACCCAACATTACACAACTACCCTGCTTACAATCATACATGTACAAATATCTTCCCCAGAAGAGAAGATAAAGTCCTTGAGTGATGTTTACTCTTCTGATATCCCTTAACTTAAATATTATAATTTAAAATTAATACTACTTTAATACTGATATAAAGTCAATAAATCTTAAGTTTCATGATAAAGGAATAATGGAGAAAAAACAAAGATACTTGATTAATAGATGTACATATATATATATATACACATACTCACATAACATAATGGCATTCTTATCAAAAAGCAGGACATACTCATGACAATTACAGTCTTCAGTACTGTAACCATTCATATGGTCATAGCTGGTATTTGTAACTATTTTTTTCTACTACACATTCTGTATTCCCTTTGCCTCCAGGAAGCACCTCAGCAAGTGGTAGTTTTTTTAACCTAGTAGGGCGATCTAAACCTTCCTTTCATAAGGGTCTGAGCTATTTATAGTCCTGCCTGGATTATGTTTTTGCAGTTTCCTATTGACGTTAATCACAGGGCATGGTAGCACGTAGAGACACCCTAAAGAATCTACTGTATTCCAGGAATACTCTTTCTTATCTCCATTGTGGAGAAATAGTTCAATTTCCTTTTGATAGTCTGAATCACTTACCCCAGCCAACACCATACCTCACTTGACTTACAGACTGAAAGGCATGAGGAGCTGGAAATAACTTGGTAATACTCTTAACTTCCAGTTCAATGGAATCACTATTGTGCCTCCCAGTGAAAGCATTTCTTCTTCTGGAACTAAGATCCCTAAGCCGGCAGAGCATAAAGTTGTGAAAACAGAAAGCAAAAATTTTGTAGTTGGTCACTAGGAGTAATTGTGAGTTGTGTCATGCCCATTTCTACATCTTGATTCCTAGACCAGTGAATTCTGGTAATGGGAAAAACAGTATTATATATTGGACACTGATTTATGGCATATATCCCCTTCTGGAGAACTTTGCCCTAGGTCTCCTAGATATTACCACCTAGTCAGCATTGTTACTGAATATTGAATTGTTATAATAAATATTATTAATAATTAATAATTTCAAAAATTATCCCATTGTTCTATCAAGCCATCTGCTTTGGTAAGGTGAAGAACATTGTAATACTAGTAAAGTTCATGAGCATAAACCCATTGCCACACTTTTTTGACTGTGAAGTTAATTCCTTGTTCAAAAACAATACTGTGTGGAATGCCATAACTATAGATAAAGCATTCTATAAGTTCAGGGATGGTAGTTTTGGCAGAAACATTGAGTACAGAATAGGCAAATTTATATTCAGAATAAGTGTCTATTCCAGTGTCCTATTTCATTTACATTTATCTAAAGAAATACCTGAGGCTGGGCAATGCATAAAGAAAAGAGGTTTATTTGGCTCACTCTTCTGCAAGCTGTATAGGATGCATGGCATGAACATGTGCTTCTGGTTAGAACTTCAGAAAGCTTCCACTTATGATGAAAGGGAAAAAGAAATTGATGTGATTGATGTGTGCAGATCACATGGTGAGAAAGAAGCAAGAGAGAGAGGGGATAGAGGTGCCGGATTTTTTTTAACGATCATATCTCACAGGAACTAATAGAGTGAGAAGTCACTCATTACTTCAATAATGGCACCAAGTCTTTCATGAAGAATCCACTCACATGACCAAAACACCTCACACCAGGCCCTACCTTCAACATTGTGGATCAAATTTCAACATGATATTTTGAGGGGACAAATATCTAAACTGTATCATTCAGTAAATGCAAAATGCTGGCCCTTCCATGATGGCAGTGGTCCAATGTAATCAACCTACCACCAGGTAGCTGGCTGATCACCCTGGAGAATGGTGCTGTACTTGGGGCTCATAATTGGCCTCTGCTGTGACAGATTGGTTACTCAGCAATAGTCACAGCCAATTTGTCCATGGTGAATGCAAGTCCATGTTGCTGAGCCCATGCAGAAACTCCATCTCTGCCACCAAGGCTACTTTGTTTATGAGCTCATTGGGTGATAACAGAGATGACTGGGAACAAGGCTTGCTGGTATCAACAATATGGGTCATATTTGATTATTAAACAATCAACTTGATATTAAAATTTTTCTCTGCTGAGGTCATGCTTTGTTAAGCATTCATATGAAACATAAACATATTTGTGTCCTTTGTCCATTCAGAGAGGTCTACCCACATACCTCTTCCCCAAATACCTTTGTAACCAGTTTCTCAATCAAGTTCTTTCCCAGTTCCATACCATCCAGCCAAAACTTTGGCTATAGTCCATGTGTGGTTATGGAATCTCATATCTGGCCATTTTCCTTTCCAAGCAAAGTACACAATCTCGTGCACTGACTGTAGTCCTGCCCACTTACAAGGTTTTCCTCCACTACTGCCCTTCAGGAATATTCCAGAAAGGGGCTATAGTATGTTAGCTGTTAACTTGGGACTGGTGCCTGAATATTAAGCAGAAAGATCTGTGAACCAGCCCAGTTTTCTTCTTCTGTCAACTAATCATAGGGTGTATTAGTTTCTTTGTGTTGCTACACAGGAATATCTGAAGCTGGTTAACTTATAAGGAAAATAAGTTTATTTGGCTCACAGTTCTGCAGGCTATACATGAATCATAGTGCCAGCATTTGCTTTTGGTGATGGTTTCAAGAAACTTACAGTCATAATGGAAAGTGAAGGGAAGCCAGGGTGTTACATGGTGAGAGAGGAAGTAAGATAGAGGAGAAGGGGTTGCCGGGCTCTTTTAAACAACCAGATCTCATGTGAAGTCTTAGAGTGACAGCTCACTCATTACTGCGAGGACAGCACCAAGACACTCATGAGGGATTCACCTCCATGATGCAAACTCTTCCATTAGGCCTCACCTCCAACATTGGGGACCACATTTCAATATGAGATTTAGAGGAAATACACATCCAAACCATATCATAGGGTACTCCCCATAACACTATAGTTTGGAGATAAGGTTGGGAGAAAGAAGTCAGTGTACAGTGTAACAGGAGTAGGAATCACGGACATTTAAGCCACTTCTACATTTAACTTACTTGTAGCCTTTACGGACTACTCAGGCCTGATATATATGGAAGAAAAAAGGGTTAATTTAATTTTGCAACTTCATTTATGGATTTTTTTGTGAGACAAGGGAAAGAAATATAAAAGATCAGCTTATTTTGTGTGTATCCACACACTTAAAGGGAACTCATTTTCAACAAAGGTGCCAAGAATATTGGGGAAAAGTCAGTCTTCAATAGCTGATGTTGGGAAACTGGATATCCACATGCAGGAGAATGAAACTAGACCCCTATCTCTTGCCATATACAAAACGTGAATCAAAATAAATTAAAGACTTAAGTCTAAGACCTCAAACTATGAAACTACTACAAGAAAACTTTGAGAAAAATCTCTAGGACATTGGTCTGGACAAACATTTCTTGAGCAATACCCCACAACCACAGGCAACCAAAGCAAAAATGGACAGCAAATGATACAATCAACAAAATGAAGAAACAGTAAATAGAATGGGAAAAATATTTGCAAATTACTCATCTGATAAGCGATTAATAACCAGAATAGAAAAGGAGTTCAAACAATTGTATAGGTAGAAATGTAATAACCAAATCAAAAAGTGGGCAAAAGATTTGATCAAAAGAAAACATCCAAATGGCAAACAGGCATATGAAAAAGTTCTCAACATCATAGAATATCAGAGAAATGTAAAATAAAAACTACAATGAGATGTCCTATTATCCCAGTTAAAATGGCTTATAACCAAAGACAGGCAATAACAAATGCTTGTCAGGATGTGGAGAAAAGGCAACCTTTGTACACTGTGGGTGGGAACGTAAGTTAGTACAACCACTAAATAGAACAGTTTGGAAGTTTCTCAAAACACCAAAAATAGAGCTACTATATGATGTAGCAATCCCACTGTTGGGTATATATCCCAGAGAAAGGAAATCTGTCTAACAAAGAGATCTCTGCACTTCCATGTTTGTTGTAGGACTATTCACAACAGTTAAGATTTGGAAGCAACCTAAGTGTTCATCAACATATGAATGAATTAAGAAAATATGGAACATAGACACAATGGAGTAATATACAGCCATAAAAAATATGAGATCCAGTCATTTGCAATGACATGGATGGAACTGGAAGTCATTATGCTAAGTGAAACAAGCCAGGCACAGAAAGACAAACATCACGTGTTTGAACTTATTTGTGGAATCTAAAAATCAAAACAATTGAACCTATGAGCACAGAGAGTAGAAGAATGGTTACCAGAGGCTGGGAAGGGTAGTGGGGGTGATGGGGACAAGGTTGGATAGTTAATGGGTACAAAAAATAGAAAGAATGAATAAGACATACTATTTGATAGCATACCAGGGTGACTATAGTCAATAATAAATTCATTTTAAAATAGCTAAAGGAGTGTAATTGAATTTTTTATAACACAAAGGAAAAATGCTTGAGGGGATGGAAACTACATTTTTTTTAATATGTCATTATTTCATATTGCATGCCTGGATCAAAACATCCCATGTACCCCATAAATATATACACCTGCTATATACTCACTAAAATTAAAACTTAAAAAAGGATCATACCTTTTGTTATATCATCTCACAATAAAAATAAATAATGACATTTAACTGAAACGCTACATTTATTAATGTAAAAACAGCAAACTCTGCTTTAGGTTTACAGAGATCTAGAAAAAAATAATTTAATAAAAGTGTCCTAACCATAGGAGTTCAGAGCAAACTTAAGAGTTTCCACTCAAATTCTCTTAAATAAGAGAGTCCAGTGAAGAACGAATCAATCTGCTGAACCTATAGACACCACAAGCACTTACGATTTTTACTCCTCTACTCGACCTCTTATTATGTCAATCTCCACCTTGCTTTTTATATTAATTGTAACTAATTTTCTAATTCCTACTCTGTATTGGACATATTTTCCACCTTTTACATTGGTGACTTACAGACTCTTGAGGCTTCATTTCCTCCAGCTTCCTGCAATAAAGGCAAGTACCTGGTTCTTACATGCATATATAACCTATGTCTCACTTAAAGCCTCCACGTGACCTATAATCACAAATTATACGCTCTTGAAGTCTAACTTGCTTCTCTTAACACGAATCTGATTACAGAGGGTATTAAATGACAGACTAAGAAGTTTGAATTTGTATTAGGTAGACAAAAATCAACATTGAGAACATCTGAGAAAATAAATGACATACCACTATCAGTGTCTTAAGAAAATGAATCAGTGAACACTCTGCGTGGATTAAATGAGGTATTGTATTTAAAATACATTGCACAGGCCTTAACACATATTAAGCATGTAATATAAATAGGTATTACACAGGGATAGAATGAGTGAGGAGAGCCAGTTTTCAAATGCCAATGTGTGAATTAGAAAAGCTTACAGTTAAGAAATTAGTGAATATAGCCAAATCATTTTTTGTGAGATATGATAGTTTTGTTTTAGTTTAAAAAATATTTTAAACATAAAGAAAATAATATACAAAATAATAAGCACCCATATACCTATCACTCAGTTTTTCAAATGTTACTGTGTGACATTTTAAATAAGAATATAGTCAGAAAATAAAATGATAGAGAATATTACATAATCAATTGAAGCTGCAATTGATTTTACTGTCTTTCTCCAGATATAACTTCGACCCTTATTTTTTGAATTGTTATTCTGAATGATTTTGTTTTTAATGACATATATGTGTATTCTTTAGCTCTATACACACTGATTTGCAATAATTTAAACTTGTATAAGTAATAGCATGAATTCTAATTCTTCTGAAATGTAATGTTTCTGCTCAACAACTGTTGAAAATAGTGGTACTAGTGAATCTTAACTAGTGAACACACATAAATGGCACTATTTTCATTATTAAATTTTCTGACTAATAATCACGAATAATTATTGATATTTTTAAAAATTTTGTTTTTGACACAATAATTGTACATATTTATGGGGTGCAATTTGTTGTTTTGATACATGTATGCATTGTGTAAAGACTAAATCAAGGTAATTAACAAGTCCATTACCTCAAACATTTACCATTTCTTTGTGGTGAGAACATTCAGAATTATCTCTTCTTGCTATTTTGAAATGTACAAGAAAGTTTTTTGTGCCATGCAATTTGACCATTCTAGGCATTTAAATTCTCATTTATATAAAATTTGATACCTGAAAAGGAGGATGTTAGCATTATTAACTTATCTTCTTGACAAAATAGGTAATGTTTCTAATGTTATGCCTTTGGTTTTTGTTCAGGGCAAATATTGTACATAATAAAATGAAAAACAGTACATACAACAAATGTCTTTAATAATTTGTTAATTAAAGAAATGTTGGTATCACTTGAACACTTGATGTCCTTTTATTAGATGATGGTTTATTACTATACTGAGAGAATCTTCCCAACTAAATTAAAAGTTTAATCACAATCATGTTAGACCTTTTTATATCTGCATCCTCCACATTAGAATGTCTGTCATTTTTTATCATTTCAGTGTATTATTTATATTTTTCTTATCTTTTATAAATAAAATTGTATTCTCTCAAAACATTTCTATACATAAAGGTTCACTTTTTAAAATGCTATAAATTTGAACATAGTTTGAAAAAATGCATGGTGTCATGTATCCTCCATTATAGCATCATACAGAATGGTTTCACTGCCTTAAAATGCCCTCTACTTTATTTATTCAATGCTTCCTTTTTCCCCCTAAACTGCTGCTAAGCACTGATCTTTTTACTCTCTATAGTTTTGTTTTTTTTCATTATGGTGGAAATCATGTAGTATATAACCTTTTCAGACTATTTTCTTTTACTTAATTATATGCATTTTTAGTTTAATACTTTTGTGGCTTTCTAATCAATTTATTTTTATCACTGAGTAATATTTTATTATATTGATGTATCACTGTTTATCAATTCACCCATTGAAGAACAATTTGGTTGCTTCCAGTTATTGGTGATTATAAATAAATTTTCTGTAGACATTTGAATGCAAGTTTTTGTGTCGACACAGTTTTCAAATAAGTTGGATGAAAACCTAAGAGCACACTTGTTGGTTTGTTTAGCTGTGTGAGAAATTGCCAAACTGTCTGCAAAAGTGGCGATACTATCTGCAAAAGTTGCCTTCCACCCAGCCGTGAATGAAAATTCCTATTGTTTCACATCCTCATCAGTATTAGATATTTTTTTTTTTAGATTTAACCATTGTAATAGGTGTGTAGTGACATTTAACTCTTGTTTAATTTGCAATTTCTCAATGAAAACTTCTGTTGAACATCTTCTTAAAAACTGGACTCATATAGAAATTTTAAGATCTTCCTTTCAAAGTGATATTTGGAAAACAATAGATTCAATCATGAAGTCAGCTAGTCACTAGGTCTAGAACTGTACATGTATCCTCCTTATTCCTGAGACTGCAGCATTTTTTTAATGTACATTTCAGGTTTTTGGAAGTGATGTGAAACAACCTATTTTCCCAGTTTATTTTTTAGTGGGAGAGGTTGGTACCTCCCCTAACGACCAGCTTCAAACAGTGCTAATGGCCCTAGTTCATCTTCTGGTGTGGGACAATTTTAGCCCCTTTATCCCAATTGAGCTTAGATCTAGTCTATCATGGCCTGTCTTCTGATAGAATATCAACAGTCCTGTGGCTTTAGCTCCATTTTCTGCTTTGAGTTTGTTTTCATTTTTTTCCTTGTCTACAGACTTTTTATTTCTTTAAACGCAGTTATATATTTTTGAATACTTACATATTGAACATACATTTTATATATATATATATAATATATATAATTGCTATGCGTTTATATCATGTGAGGACATAGTGTAATATGGACCCTATGATGCCCACTTCTATGTTTGTTCCCTTGTTAATCCTCTCCCCACTGACTGTTGCCAGAAACTGTGGACTGCTTCTTTCCAATAGAACAGGAAAGGTGATGGGATATCATGTTTGTGATAATGTTACATAAGATTGTATCCTGTCTTCTAGGAGACTCTCACCATTGTTGCTTTGAGGAAGCAAGCTGCCCTGTTGGGAGCTGCCCTGTGGTAAGAAACTGAAGGCAGTCTCTGGCTGGTCACCAGCAAAAATCTGTAGCCCTTAGTCTGGCAGCCTGCAAGGAACTAAATGCTCTCGACAATTATGTATGTGAGCCTGGAGGTGTATTCTGCTGTAGTCAAATCTTAGGGCCTTAGATGAGAGTCCACCCTGACTTACACTTTGATTGCAGCTTTGAAGAGAACTCAGCTAAGCCGTGTCAGGACTCTGGAACAACAGAAACTGTGAACAATTAAACATCAGACACAATTTTTTAATGTGCCTGTAAGCTTACATACGTGTTGTGTTGTGTGTGCTGGTGGTGGTGAAAGAGAGGTATTACTGGTGTCTTTAACTTCATACCACACAGGTACCTTCTCATTTCACCATCCAGTATTAATAAATAATGGTTTTTCACTCAGCACATTTATCTTCCCTGATTTATTACCCTTCATAGCAATTATCCATATCTGAAAGACTGCCTATATTGTTAGTTCCCGTATTTATTGCCTATCTCCCGAAAACCGGAATATAACTTATATGAGCAAAGGGATTTTTGACTGTCTTTGTCTGATCCCTAAATAGTATTTGCCCTATACTAGACACAACACAAGCGATATTTTGCACAAATAAGGAATGTATATTACCCCAAAGGGAGAATTACTGAAAATTAGTAAATTGACATTCAATGGCATTTTTTTTGCCATAAAAACAAAAAGAAGAGTATATTGCTGATATCTTATTGAAAGCAAATAATGTGTAGGCCAAAATATCATTATGTTTATGATTTCACCATAGTACTATGGATACTGGGCTGTGTTTTATGATGGAGAAACACATATAAAGTAATTGTTAAGAGTTAGACCTCTGGAACTGGTAAACTCAATGGGGATTTTAATTCCCATTTACCAGACTTTGAAGTATTTAATCTGTCTAATCTTAGTAGCATCATCTATAACATGGTGATGAAAATAGAGGCTATACCATACAGCTACTGATAATATTAAATGAGATGATACAAGGTAAGGATTCAGTATGGTGCCTAGAATATAGTAAGTACTCCATAAATGGTTGATCTTACTAGTACTGTGAAATATCTCATTACTTACCAGTCAGTAGGTGCAGTTTAATATTTTGCTTAATTATATTGGTTCAGGCATCAAACACACCTGGGTTTGCATCTCAACTCCACCTTGTACCAGCTTTGTGACTTTGGGTATATTATTTGACTTTTAGGAGCACTGCTGTGAAACTGGCATACAATAGCTTCTTTTTTTTTAATTTAAAATAATTTACTTTAGAATTTGTAGTTAATTATATTTAACCTAGATAAAATTTACCTGGGCACATTTTTTTTTTTTTATTTTACTGTAAGTTCTGTGATACATATGCTGAACGTGCAGGTTTGTTACGTAAGTATACCTGTGCCATGGTGGTTTGCAGCACCTATCAACCCATCATCTAGGTTTTAAGCTCCACATGCATTAAGTATTTGTCCTAATGCTCTCCCTCCCCTTTCCCCCAACCCCCCAACAGTCCCCATTGTGTGACGTTCCCCTCCCTGCATCCATGTGTTCTCATTGATCAGCTCCCACTTATGAGTGAGAACATGTGGTGTTTGGTTTTCCGTTCCTATGTTAGTTTGCTGAGGATGATGGTTTCCAACTTCACCCATGTACCTGAAAAGGACATAAACTTATTCTTTATTATGGATGCATAGTATTCCATGGTGTATATGTGCCACATTTTCTTTATCCAGTCCATCACTGATGGGCATTTGGGTTGGTTCCAAGTCTTTGCTATTGTAAATAGTGCTGTAAAATAAACACACGTGTGCATGTGTCTTTTTATAGTAGAATGATTAATAATCCTTTGGGTATATACTCAGTAATGGGATTGCTGGGTCAAATGGTATTTCTGGTTCTACATCCTTGAGGGATCACCACACTGTCTTCCACAATGGTTAAAGTATTTACACTCCCATCCACAGTGTAAAAGTGTTCCTATTTCTCCGCATACTCGCCAGCATCTGTTGTTTCCAGACTTTTTAATGATCACCATTCTAACTGGCGTGACATGGTATCTTCATTTTGGTTTTGATTTGCATTTCTTTAATGACCAGTGATGGTGAGCTTTTTTTTTCATTTGTTTGTTAGCTTCACAAATGCCTTATTTTGAGAAGAGTCTGTCCATATCCTTTGCCCACTTTTTGGTGGGGTTGTGTGTTTTTTTCTTGTAAATTTGTTTAAGTTCCTTGTAGATGCTGGATATTAGACCATTGTCAGATGGATAGATTGCACAAATTTTCTCCCATTCTTTAGATTGAGTGTTCTCTCTGAGATAGTTTATTTTGCTGAGCAGAAGCTCTTTAGTTTAATTAGATCCTATTTGTCAATTTTGCCTTTTATTGCAATTGGTTTTGGCAATTTAGTCATGAAATCTTTGTCCATGCCTAAGTCCTGAATAGTATTGCCTAGGTTTTCTTCTAGGGTTTTTATAGTTTTAGGTTTTACATTTAAGTTTTTGATCCATCTTGAGTTAATTTCTGTATAAGGTGTAAGGAAGGGGTCCAGTTTCTGTTTTCTGCATATGGCTAGCCAGTTTTCCCAGCACCATTTATTAAATAGGGAATCCTTTCCCCATTGCTTATTTTTGTCAGGTTTGTCAAAGATCAGGTGGTTGTAGATATGTTGTGTTATTTCGGAGGCCTCTGTTCTGTTCAATTGGTCTATATATCTGTTTTGATACCAGTACCATGCTGCTTTGATTACTGTAGCCTTGTAGTATAGTTTGAAGTCAGGCAGCTTGATGCCTCCAGCTTTGTTCTTTTTGCTTAGGATTGTCTTGGCTACACAGGCTCTTTTTTGATTCCATATGAAATTTAAAGTAGTTTTTTCTGGTTCTGTGAAGAAAGTAAATAGTAGCTTGATGGGGATGGCATTGAATCTATAAATTTATTTGGGCAGTATGGCCATTTTCACGATATTGATTCTTCCCGTCCATGAGCATGGAATGTTTCTACTTCATAATGTTTGATGTAAGAATTGCTTGAGATAAGTGTCTATTTATCACAATACCTAGGACATAGTAACCACACAAGAAATTATTTATTAATACTGAATGGTGGAATGGGAAGGTATCTATATTATGTGAAATCAAAGACACACATCATATCTCTCCTTCACCAGCCCCCTCACTGTGCAAACAACACAATATAACAACATATAAACAGACAGACACATCAAAATGTTTTGTCTCAGAAGTATTCTTAAGGCATGACAAATTGAAGACTTTCCCTGTGCCCTGGGAGGACATAATCTCACCCTGTAGTAGATTCTCAGTAGTTCCTGGTATAGGGTGAGAGATAAGGGGGTACTACTATATGCTGGTGCCAAAGAGGATGTAAGATGTGCATACAATAGGATATAAAATACTTTTACTTCTATAAGCCATATATAAATATCAAATCAGCACCATGGGGGTGATGTAGCATGTATGGGGCTGTCTAGTAACAACTGACTTGTATAACATTATTAAAACAGGAAAGAGGGTAATATATGGAGCACCATACCCTGATCAGGGCATCTTTCTCTGAATGTTTCTGCAGACTCTGACTCTGGTTTCTGGAGGGATAATCAGTGAAATTTTTGGTGGGAGTTAAATGTAGCTTTTTTCCTGCAGACATCTTTTCAACTGCAAATATACTTGGACATGACTAAGTAACAAGTTAGCCATCACTCACTGTAAATGAGTTTATGGGAAAGCAGTAAAGGAGAGGGGAAATATTGATGTGGAAAATAGCTTTTTAAAAATTCACTTCATGAATTCTACACTGTAAGTTTATGTCATTTCTTCTTCATGAAATTTCTGTATTTGATTACAACACTTACTTCGAAACTGATTGTACCTTAAAATCATCATAAATGTGTTTGAGGGTATCATTGTCTCTTCAACACTCACTCCTGAAAACTTGTATACTTAATGAATATTCACATAACAGAGTTTTTATATAGTTAGATGCCTGCTTACTTTAAGAGAAATAAAACAGACTTTCTGGCCGTTACCTTATTGAGCCAGTGATCAAACACACAACCACACAAAATATACATATAAAGAGTTTCCCTTAGGGCACATGAGCCCATATTAATGGATTCAGTACTTTTATGGTAAGTTAATCCTTGGCATCTATCATCAGTTGAGTATTATTAAAAAGCATCAAGCAGCATACATCTGTGGAATCATTTATTCTGTTATCACCCTGAAGAAGGCAGTGAGCTGATTCACTGCTGCTACTATATTGGCAATAATAGACAATGATTATTATTTTCTTAGTTCACAGGAAATTACAAATGCAGGTACATTTTAAAAGAGAACCTACTGCTATATACAAACTCCAAGTAGCAATATAACTCATTTTTTCCCATTTTTCAAAGTCTCAGGGCAATGCAAAAATTACATAATCAAGGTTTTTCCCATGCTAGTGGCAAAGATATTTTAAATGCAGAATGAAACCTAAAGATTTCTTAGGTTTATTCATTATGTACAACATTTATAGTCAAGGTAAACTTCATTACTTCTTAATTAAGAGTAAGTGAAAAAAATCATGATTTTAAGAAGAACATTTATGGGTGCAACATTGAGTTAATATTGATTAGTGAGAATCATCCTTATGTTGACGTCACTGTTGAGGAATATGTTCCTTAAACAGCTTATACCAATATAAGGTCATCAAAGTTGGATTTAATTCTGGTGTTGTGCTTGGCAAAGCAGACATCTGCCTACACAGTAAGATTAAGGAGAGTTAGAAAGAAAAGCAGCCTACATTCATGCCCCAAATAATTCTTATTCCTATTAGAAAAGTATCTGAAATACAACTATTAGTGTCCTAAAACATGTGTTTAAGTCACTCAGTCATCAGTTTAAATATAAAATTTCAGTAAAAAATATAGCACACATGTTGGGGCATAGTCATTTAGAGTCCATTGACCAAATCCCTGTCCAAAAAATAAATATAACATAATAAAGAAAATCCAAAATAAAAACAAAAAATGACCTGTGTATTTCTTGGTTTTATCCCAAATGGCTACGTGGGTGAAATTTGTTATTTTTTTAAATACATAGAATTTATAAAAATGTACATTTTTGTCCACTGGGGTTCTTTTATTCTTATTAATCAATCTTCTGTTAT
Source organism: Homo sapiens (assembly GCF_000001405.40). Classification (NCBI taxonomy): domain Eukaryota; kingdom Metazoa; phylum Chordata; class Mammalia; order Primates; family Hominidae; genus Homo; species Homo sapiens. The sequence goes on from NC_000023.11 coordinate 90,500,639, forward strand.
GCTTTCCATAAGAAATATCTTACATTTAAGTCTTAGTTGAGAACCATAAAGATACTATCCCAGCAGAGCCAAATAAATGTTAAGAAGGTACAATTATGAATGAAGCTGGCGGCATGTGAGATACTAGGGAGTGATAAGATACATATAATAAACTTGGGAACATGATATGTCTAAAGACATTCAAATAAAGTTTTTTTAAAGACATAGGATGTGGCACACCAAATATATCTGCAGGAGGTGCCTAGTTGAAACCACTGCCCATTGTTCATCCACACTCACAGCTTGATTTGTCTATTAATATGAAGGAATGCAGCTCCTTAAGATTCAACACAGAATGGGCACAGAGTACATTGTCCTAGCCACCACCGAGCCCAATTAACAAATGGTCCCTGGACATTGCTATGAGGTGTTCTTTTCTGAGTATTTTTAACATCGGATCTTACAAAATCTTTCTACTTATCTCACGTAGAGACAGTAATTGTTTTCTTAATGCTTCTAGAATGCATTGTGTGTTTCTCTGTTACGGCACTTGTCATCTGGTGCTATAATAGTTTGTTGGCAAGTTTTTTCCTTCACTGGACCATAAGCACCTCAAGAGCAAAGTCTAGGGCTTATCTTATTGTGAAAGCCCATTACTCAGTATTTTGTTGGCCCTCATATGCGCATATTTGTCTCCCACAAACATTGCATTTTTTGAAGTCGTTTTTCTTTTTTCTTTTTATTTTAGAATATAGGTGAGAAGAGAGAAGAATGGTAGATAAATACTGGGGTTAGAGTAGTTTAGTTTTGAACATTTTTACATCTGCTTTAAAAATTAAAGCATAGTAAGATGTGTACAATTTTATTACACCTTTAGTTAAAGTTCTAAAGGGAAGATGGTGGGGGGCGGGATGCAGTATTGTAAAATACTTTACACGCACATGAATAATTTACATTTCCTTTAAGGCAACTTGTTTAAGTTAAGGTATTTAGAAAGATTAACTTCTAGGGCTATTTGCTATTTTTGTGGGGTCACAGAAATTTCAGGGTCAGATCATGGAGGAGAGTTATTATTGAGAAATGTGATTTTATAAATCCATCTGAAGTTGATCAGTTTTGTTGGAAAGTATTTGCAATAATCAAATTTGCTATATTATTGTAATAAAACACAGAACATCAATTTCTTAGATTGGGAAATACTCCTCATATCAATAACTAATACTCCTTGATGTAGCAGCTTCCTCTTGGACATACAAAGAAAGAGGATGTGGCAAATTTTAGATTAAAAGACTTTATTGTATTATTATTACATTTTTGTCAGCTTAGAATTACTACAAAGGTGGTTGATCATTTCTTAGATAATATTCTCGCTATAGCTTTATGAATTGCTGTTTTCCACCAGGGTTATATATGTTTAAAGAACAAAGATCTAGAATCAATGTTCTAACTCTGATAAGCAGAACTGAAGATGCAGAGGCATATTTATGTTATTAAAAACATAACATAAAAAAAGATTGAAAATCTTTTTCAATCAAGAAAAAGATTCTGGTATAGCACTGTTACTTCATCAAAAATAGATAACAATGAATTTGATTTCAGTAAAATGTGTATCAGTTACGTGTTAGAGTGGCATATTTCTGATGGTGCAGTATGTTGCTTGAAAAGATTTACATGAGTAACTTATCGAACACATCTCATATCTCTCAATAGGGTACTCATTTCAGAGGCAAAAGTACTCTGGTCTTGTACCTATATTCAAGAGTTAATCTTTGTTCTAATTTTACTGCCCCTGTGTTTAATGTTATGTTTAATTATGCTTAATATTTAAAAGACAATTTACTAAGCATTCATTTTAAAACTCTTTCTGAAGTATAGCCCCTTTAAAGCAATACAATAGTTTCCATTCTGAAAAAGGACATATTTTGTTTACAGACTGTGAGAAACACAGAGATTGGCTTTGTATATAAACTCAGGGAATCACTGAGCCAGGATAACAGAGCTGTTGGAGCTGAAAACTGCAGCAGTAAATTTATACTTTAGAATGCACAAAATCATTCTCCAGAATTGAGAAGAGAAAAAAGAATTGACTTTGACACTTTATAACATTTGGTAGTGATTCTTTGTATTTGGGTAAGACTTTTTTTTTATCATGTTCTTAAAACCCTTTCAGTTTATGAACTCCTTAGATCTTTATAGCTTTTATTAAATTGTATATGTAAAATTCATATATATAAATGAAACTCTTAATGAAAAGCAAAGCTTTAAAACAATTGTTAGCACTGAATCTTAGATTATATTTTTCTTCTTACTAGTTTTATCTACCATTTTCAGTAATATATTTTACGTTATAGTCATATTTATTTTTACTGGAGAGTGCAATTTTCTCAAATCACGACTATTTGGTTTCCTTTGCATTTCTTCTTTCATGAGCAGTGCAAGATCAGAGATAAGCAGTTCCACACACGTTTGTGTCTTTTCACTATATCAACATTTATTGATGCTATTTCAATCACAAAAGCCACCAGCTACATGGAGTTCCCAAGGAGGCAAATTTCCTTAGTACTTCCCATTCACTTGGTAATGAGACCTTGGGTACACAGGCACAAGCCACTCCACAAGCCAGTCAATATTGCCAATCATACATAATAGTATACTTAATCGGGCCGGGCGCGGTGGCTCATACCTGAAATCCCAGCACTTTGGGAGGCTGAGGCGGGCGGATCACGAGGTCGGGAGATCGAGACCATCCTGGCTAACACGGTGAAACCCCGTCTCCACTAAAAATACAAAAAATTAGCCGGGCGTGGTGGTGGGCGCCTGTAGTCCCAGCTACTCGGGAGGCTGAGGCAGGAGAATGGCATGAACCCTGGAGGTGGAGCTTGCAGTGAGCCGAGATCGCGCCACTGCACTGCAGCCTGGGTGACAAAGCGAGTCTCCGTCTCAAAAAAAAAAAAAAAAAAAAAAAGGTATACTTAATCAATATATAAAGTCATAGATTAAACATTTCATAAAGAAATAAAGAAATATTTAACATCAAGAGAAAAGAAATAGAAAAAGGTGTTAATACACTAGTCCATGCAAAGCAACAAAGGCAAAAATAATCTGGTGGTCTGGGCTCAGTGGTCTATTGGAAGAATCCCTGTGTGGGCAGAGCGTTTGGTAATAGATGCTAAGTGCTTATTGGGGTTGATAGTAAGATGATGTCAGTTAAGATGGCTATTTAGAACTGCTCAAGCCTTGCTCTTTGTATAGCCAGAGTCCTCTGGCAAAAACTGACAGTGGAGGAATGCGCTTGTTTATGTATGTCTTTACCTGGTTGGATGCAGTCTTTATTTTTTTATTTCTTTATTAAGCAAAATATATTTTCCCTGTTGGCAAAGTGCCCTATGAAATGCAAGATGGAGACGTTTTCTAATATGGAGTTAATTATGTCAAGGGTGCTCTCTCTCCTCTTTAGGACCGTAAATTAGACATATAAATATGTGGCTAGTCCTCTCTTTCTAAATAACAATGACTAAATAGAAAATAATAATTAAAGTGAACATAGATGCAGACTAACAATTTCATGTTTAATGAAAGAGTATTTCCAAAATAAGATAAACAAATAGCTGTCATAAACTACCCATTACTGTCTACAATATGTCCAAAGTACCTATTATCACCACCATTTAAAAACACTGTTCTCAATTTTGTAGTCACTGAAAACTGGAAATAAAAATAACCAAAATATGTGAAGATAAGAAGGGAGAAGCACCACAATTATTATAATATATACCTACTACGAATCCAGAAAATGTAAAAAATCAATTAAAATAACTCACAGCAGGAAGTTTTCTTAACTCACTTCCACTTAACCAATGAGCCACATTACTGACTACCCTCCATTCTCACTGTAGATTATACTGACTGAAACATAAGTTGCTTTTAGTGAAATCTGTGCTGAATTTTTGGAAAAACTTATGGGGGCAAGTCTTTAAAATATGATATTGAATTAGGGGAAGTTGTAGTGATTATAAATAATTGAGGAAAGTTTCTAAAAATGTTCATAAATTCTATGCATTGGTTGCAGGGTTGTGCATAAGGTTTACCTAAAATGATATTTATCACAGGGTTATTTATTTTAATTATTTAAATAATGGTATATTTTAAAAATATAGAAAACTAGAAAACATATAAGAGAAACCTATGTATCTCTCAAATAAAAAATAGATATCAATAATTTCCATATTTGCTTCGAATAATTAAAAAAAACAAATAAACATGGTTGAAAATTACCCTCACTTAGCTACTTTCCTTTCTGTTTACCAAGGGCAACTAGTCAACCAAATTCAGTATTTATAATTCCCATGCACGTTTTACTTTACTTTTATTACATATGTATATATCCAGAAACATTATACAGTACTGACGTGCAGGCTTAAAATGTAACAGAAAATGACATCAAACTATAACTCACCTCTCCAACTGGCTTTTTAAACTCTAGATTACATTTCTGAGACTTAACTATGTGAGTTAACTAGTTGTAAGTAATGTGCAGAATTGCATTATAATCATATACCAAAATTTATCCATTTTCCTGATGATGATCATTTAAGTTAATTCCAATTTTTCTGTATTATGAAAAATGAATATAGTTGAGGTTCCCTCTGCCTGAAAAATATTTTCTGTTACACAATGGTTAGCTAATGTAATCACCACTGAGGAAGAGGAGCGAGATGGTTAAATATAAAGCTCCACTGATAGAAAACTTCCTGCTTTGAGTAGGCATGTGACCTACTGAAACACCAGCTGAGGCAGCCAAGGGAGTGCTGGCATGACCTCCCTGCTAACCCCAGGCTGCATAGCTCGTGGCTGCAAAAGAGATCCCTTCTTCTGCTTGAGGAGAGGACAAAGAAGAGTGCAGAGGACTTCGTGTTGCATTTTGGATACCAGCCCAACCACGACAGGATAAGGCACCCATCATGAGGCCTCCATTTCAGGCCATAGCTTTGGGATATTTCCAGACATATCCTGAGCCAGAAGGGAACCCACTGCCTTGAAGAAAAGAAACTCATCCTGTCAGCATTCATCACCCACTAACTGAAGAGCCCCTGGGCCCTGAAAAACCAGCAGCAATACCCAGGTAGTACATTGAGGGCCTTGATGAGCTTCTAAGACTTGCTGGCTTCAGGTGAGACTAACACATTACCAGCTGTGGTGTCCAAACTCCTTCTGCTTGAGGAAAGCAGAGGAAAATATAAAGGGGACTTTGTCTTGCATCTTAGGTACCAACTGCCACAAGGGTGTGGAGCACCAAGCGGGCTCTTGGGGTCCCTGATCCCAGGACTTGACTCTTGGATGGCATGTCTAGACCTTCCAAAGGCAAGAGGGGAGCCCATTGCCCTGAAGGGTGAGTGCAAGACCAGGCAGTCTTGCACAAGTGGACTTAAGAGACCTTGGGCCTTAATGGAACATCAGTGATAGTCTGGCAGCACTTCTTGTGACCAGGGGTGGCTGTGGCTATGAGGTAAGTTTCCTCTGCCTTTGGAAAAGGGAGGGAAAAGTGAAATAAACTGCATCTTGTGGTTTGAGTATCAGCTCAACACCAGGTAGACTTCTAAGATTTTTAACTCTAGTCCCTGATACTTGGATGATACTTCTGGGCTCACCTGGGGAAAAGGTAACTTACTGCCTTGAAGGGAAAGACATAGGTCTGGCTGGCATTGCTACCTGCTGATTGTAGAGCTCCAGGACTTTTACTGACATTGGCAGTGGCCAGGGAGTGGTTAAAGCAGGCCTTAGGCAAGACTCAGTGCTGTGCTGGCTTCAATACTGACCCAGCACAGTCGTAATGGTGGTGGCCACAAGGGTGCTTCTGTAACTCCACCCCCAGCTTTAGGTGGTGAGAGAGAGAGTGAGAGAGAGAGAGAGAGACTGTATGCTTGGGAGAAAGTAAGAAAAGAGTCTCTGTTTGATAATGCAGAGAATTTTCCTGGATCTTGCCCGAGGATATCAAGGTGATACTTCTGTGAGTCTAAAAGAACCACAGCATTGCTGGCCTTGGGGTTTCTCCTAAAGCAGAAACAGCTTAGATCACAACATGCAAGTCTTCTCAATATCTGGAAAGCCTTCACAAGAAGGATGGCTACGAATAAGCCCAGACAGTGAAGACTGCAATAAATACCTAACTCTTCAATGCTCAGACACCAAAGAACATCTACTAGCATCAACACCAACCAGGAAAACATGACCATGTCAAATGAGCTACATAAGGCACCAAGGACCAATTCTGGAGAAATAGAGATGTGACCTTTCGGACAGAAAATTCAAAATGGCTGTGTTGAGGAAATTCAGATAAATTCAAGATAACATAGATAAGAAATTAAGAATTATATAAGATAAATTTAACAAAAGAGATTGAAATCATTAAAAAAATTCAACAAAAATTCTGGAGCTGGAAAAGGAAATTGGCATACTGAAGAATGCATGAGTGTGAATTGCTGGCAGAACTGATCAGGCAGAAGAAAGAAATAGTGAGTTTGAATATAGGCTACATGAAAATACACAGTCAAAGGAGATAGAAAAAAAAAGAATAAAAACCAAGAAAGCACACCTACAGAATCTAGAAAATAGCCTCAAAAGGGCCAGTCTAAGAGTTATTGGCCTTAAAGAGGAGACAGAGAAAGAGAGGGGTAGGAGAGATGAAAAAAGTTGTGGATAGGAGGCGGGACTAAATTGCAGCTCTCATTTGGATGGACAGAGCACCATGGGAAGACTTGCACTGTGAACTTTTGCTCTAAGAAGTACTTCAGGAATAAACCAGGAAAGCCGAGGGAATCCACAGACCCTTTGAAGGAAGTGGATTGCTCCTGCAGGACATGGGAGACAGCCCAAATATTGTGAGTGCCCAAAATGTGAAAGTGGAAAAGGGGGACTGTCCACCCCTGAACACACACCCTCACTGCGGAACTTGAATGTCCAGATCACGGGAGAAGGATTTGACCTTACCTGGAACTGAGAAAATTTAGAGAGCTGAGTGAAATACAGGAGTAGAGGAAGCAGTGGGAAAAGCCCTGTGGGCTCTGTGGGTCCCCAGGGAAGCCATTTTTGACTTGTCTCATAGGGGTCCTTGGGGAGGGCTGCCAGAGGAACTGGAAAAAGAACACAAGGAGAAGGAAACCTCCAGTTGAACTTTGTAACAATTCCAACCAAGGGTGAAGATTCCTGGCCAGAACTTGGGGAAGAGCATGAATCTGGTTTGCAGACTCAACAGGTGGAGAGGTGCAAAAGCCCTGTTTGCTTTCTTAGCTGGGAGGCTGATAGCCTAGAGCAAGTTCTCAGCCCTGCTCATCCACTGCTGGGAACAAACTTGGTGCTATTGGGATGGCATGGAGGGAGTGAGACCAGCCTTTTGGGTTGCACAGGAGCTGAGTGAGGCCTGTAACTGCTGGCATTCCCCAGCTTCCCTGAAAACCTGCATGAAACAGCAGAGGCAGCCATAATCATTTTGGGAACATAACTACATTGACCTGGAAACCACAACCCCATCCCCACGCAGCTGCAGCAAGGAGAGTCTAAGCTCAGATAGGCCTTACACTGCCTCCACCTTATGGTCTTTCCCTACCTGCCCTGGTAGCTGAAGACAAAGGTCATATTCTCTTGGGAATGCTAGGGCCCCACCCACCACCTGACCCTCCTGTATACTACCACATCTGATGCTCTCTTGAAAGCACCAACTCCAGGAAGGAGACCAACTAGCACAAAACTAATGCATTAAACAACTACAACTAAGGACTCTCACAGAGTCCATTTTACTCCCCTGCCACCTCCACTGGAGCAGGTGCTGGTATCCATGGCTGAGAGACCTGAAGAAGGTTCACATCACAAAACTCTACGCAGACACCCCACAAGACCAGCCCAGGGCCTGGTAGGCCTGCTGGGTGGCTAGATCAATAAGAGAAATAACAATCACTACAGCACAGATCTAAGTAAGCCACATTTATAGAAAAAGGGAAATAGTGCTACATCAAGGAAACACCCCATGGCCAAAAAAGAATCTGAACAGCAGCCTTGAGCCCCAGATCTTCCCTCTGAGATAGCCTACCTAAATGAGAAGAAACCAGAAAAACAATCCTGCTAATAAGACAAAACAGGGTTCTTTAACACCCCCCAAAAAATCACACTAGGGCACCAGCAATGGATTCAAACCAGGAAGAGATCCCTGAATTACAATAAAAAGAATTCAGGTCAATTATTAAGCTAATCAAGGAGGTACCAGAGAAACTTTAAGTTCAATTTAAAGAAATCAAAACAATGATACAATATATGAGTGGAGAAACCTTCAGTGAAATAGATAGCTTAAATAAAAAACAAGTGCAACTTCAGGAAATAAAGGACACGCTTAGATAAATGCAAAGGGTTCTAGAAGGTCTTAGCAATAGAGTCAAACAAGCAGAAGAAAGAACTTCAGAGCTCAAAGACAAGGTTTGAGAAATAACCCAACCCAACAAAGACAAATGAAAAATAATTTTAAGAAAATGAACAAAGGCTCCAAGGAGTTTGAGATTATGTTTAATGACTAAATGCCAGTTATAAGAATAACTGGCACTCTTGAGGAAGAAAAGAAATCTAAAAGTTTGGAAAATATATTTGGGGAAATAATTGAGGAAAACTTTCCTGACCTCTCTAGAGATCTAGATATCCAAATACAGGAAACTCAAAGAAAATTCATCACAAAAAAATAATCACCTAGGCACATGGTCATCAGGTTATCTAAACTCAACACGAAGGAAAGCATCTTAAGAGTTGTGAGGCAAAGGCACCATGTAGCCTACAAAGAAAAACCTATCAGATTAACAGCATATTTCTCAGCAGAAACCCTACAAGCTAAAAGGAATTGGTGCCCTATTTTCAGCCCCCTTAAACAAAACAATTATCAGCCAAGAATTTTCTATCCAGTGAAATGAAGCTTGATAAATGAAAGATACAGTTTTTCTCAGACAAACAAATGCTGAGAGAATTCACCACTACCAAGCCAGCACTATAAGAACTACTAAAAGGAGCTCTAAATCTTGAAACAAATCCTGAAAACACACAGAAGCAGTACCTCTTTAAAGCATGAGTCTCACAGGACCTATAAAACAAAAATATGAAAAATAAATAAATTAATTTAAAAAAACAAGATGTTCAGGCAATAAATAGCACAATGAATGGAATTGTAACGTTGAATATAAATAGCCTAAATGTGCCACTTAAAAGATAAAGAATAGCAGAATGGATAACAATTCACCAACCAAGTGTCTGCTGCCTTCAAAAGACTCACCTAACACATAAGGACTCACATAAACTTAAGGTAAAGGAGTGGAAAAAGACATTTTATGCAAATAGACACCCAAAACAAGCAGTAGTAGCTATTCTTCTATCAGACATTACAAACTTTTTTTAAAAAAAGCAATTTAAAAAGACAAAGAGGGACTTTATATAATGATAAATAGCTTTGTCCAACATGAAAATATCACAATTCTAAATATATACGCACCTAACACTGGAGCTCTCAAATTTATAAAACAATTACTAATAGACCTAAGAAATGAGATAGACAGCAACACAATAATAGTGGAGGATTTTAATACTCCAGTGACAGTACTAGACAAGTCATCAAAACAGAAAGTCAACAAAGAAAATATGAATTTAAACTATACCCAAGAACAAATGGACTTAACAGGTATTTACAGAACATTTTACATAACAACTGCAGAATAAACATTCTGTTCATCAGTGCATGGAAATTTATCCAAGATAGACCATATGACAGTCCACAAAACAAGTCTCAATAGAACTTTAAAAAATAAAATTTTATCAAGTACTCTCTCAGACCACAGTGGAAAAAAATTGGAAATCAACTCCAAAAGGAACCTTCAAAACCATGCAAGTACATAGAAATTAAATAAACTGCTCCTGAATGATTATTGGGTAAACAATGAAATCAAGATGAAAATTTAAAAAACGTACTTGAACTGAATGATAATGGTGATGCAACCTGTCAAAACCACTGAGATAGGACAAAGGTAGTGCTAAGAGGAAAGTCCATAGCCTTAAATGCCTACATCAAAAAGTCCAAAAGAGCACAAATAGATAGTCTAAGGTCAAATCTCAAGGAACTGGAGAAATAAGAAAAAAACAAACCCAAATTCACCAGAAGAAAATAAGTAATCAAGAACAGAGCAGAACTAAATGAAATTGAAACACACACACACACACTCACACAAATACAAAAGATAAATGAAACAAAAAGCTGTTTCTTTTTAAAGATAAATAAAATTGACAGAACATTCACAAGGTTAACCAAGAAAAGAAGAAACAAGATGCAAATAAGTTCAATTAAAAATGAAATGGGAGATATTACAACTGACACAACAGAAATATAAAAGGTCATTTAATGATATTATGAACACATAGTTTATGTGCGTAAATTACAAAACCTAGAGAATATGGATAAATTCCTGGAAATATACAACCATCCTAGCTTAAATAAGGAAGAATTAGAAATCCCGAGGAGACTAATAAGAAGCAGCAAGATTAAAATGCATATAAAAAATTACCAACAAAAAAGGTCCATGACCAGACAGATTCACAGCTGAATTCAATCAGACATTCAAAGAGGAATTGGTACCAATTTTACTCACACTATTCTACAAGACAGAGGAAAAGGAAATCCTCTCTAAATGAATCTATGAATCCAGTATCACCATAATACCAAAACCAGGAAAGAACATAACAAAAAAAGAAAACTACAGACCAATATCCTTGATGAACATAGATGCAAAAATCCTTAACAAAAAATAGCTAATGAAATTCAACAGCATGTCAAAAAGATAATCCAGTCAAGCATGGTGGTCCATGCCTGTAATCCAGCACTTTGAGAGGCCAAAGCAGGTGGATCATTTGAGGTCAGGGTTTCGAGACCAGCCTGGCCAACATGGTGAAGCCTCATCTCTACTAAAAGTACAAAAAGTAGCTGGGCATAGTGGTGCACACCTGTAATCCCAGCTACTCAGGACACTGAGGCATGAGAATTGCTTAAGCCCAGGAGGCAGAGGTTGCAATGAGCCAAGATCATGCCACTGTACTCCAGACTGGGTGACAGAGTGAGACGCCATCTCAAAAAAATAAAATAAAATAAAATAAAATAAAATAAAATAAAATAAAATAAAATAAAATAAAATAAAATAAAGATAATGTATCATAATCAAGTTGGTTTCATTCCAGGGAGGCAGGGATGCAGGGATGGTTTAACATATGCAAGTTAATGAATGTGATACACCACATTAACAGAATTAAAAACAAAAATCATATAATGATCTCAATAAATGCAGAAAAAGCATTTGACAAAATCCAGCATCACTTTATAATTAAATTCATCAGCAAAATTGGCATACAAGAGACATAATTCTATGTAATAAAAGCCATCAGACAGGCACAGTAGCTCACGCCTGTAATCTCAGCACTTTGGGAAGCCGAGGTGGGCAGATCACAAGGTCAAGGGATCAAGACCATCCTGGCCAACATGGTGAAACCCTGTCTCTACTAAAAAAAAAAAAAACTAATAAATTAGCTGGGCATGGTGGCGTGTGCCTGTAGTCCCAGCTACTCAGGAGGCTGAGGCAGAAGAATCACTTGAAACTGGGAGGCAGAGGTTGCAGTGAGCTGAGATTGCGCCACTGCACTCTAGCCTGGTGACAGAGCAAGACTCCATCTCAATAAATAAATAAATAATAAAAGCCATCTATGACAAACCCACAGCCAACATAATATTGAATGGGGAAAATGTTGAAAGCATTCTCCCTGAGATCTAGAACAAGGCAAGGATGCCCACTTTCATCAAATTTATTTGGCATAGTACTGGAAGTTCTAGCCAAACCAATCAGATAAGAGGAAGAAATAAAGGGTATTTGAATGGGTAAACAGGAAGTCAAACTGTCACTGTTTGCTGATGATATGATTGTATACCTATAAAACCCTAAAGATTCCTCCAAAAATCTCTTAGAACTAATAAATGAATTCAGCAGTTTCAGGATAAAAAATTAATGTACACAATTCAGTAGTTTTTCTATACATCAACAGAGACCAAGCTGAGAATCAAATCACGAACTAAAACCCTTTACAATAGCTGTGAAAAAAATAAAACACTTAAAATTATACCTAACCAAGGAGGTAAAAGACGTCTACAAAGAAAATTTCAAAACACTCCTGAAATAAATCATAGATGACAGAAAAAATTGAAAACATATTTTGTTCTCATAGATGAGTAGAATCAATATTGTGAAATGGCCATACTGCCAAAAACAATCTACACATTCAATTCAATTCCCATGAAAGTACCAACATTATTCCTCACAGAGCTAGAAAAAACAATCCCAACATTCATATGGAACCAAAAAAGAGCCCACATAGGCAAAGCAAGACTAAGCAAAGAGAACAAGTCCGAAGGCATCACATTACCTGACTTCAAACTATACTATGAAGCTATAGTCACCAAAACAGCATGGTACTGGTATAAAATTTGGCACAGACCAATGGAACAAAATAGAAAACCCAGAAATAAACTGAAATATTTACAGCCACCTGATCTTTGACAAAGCACACGAAAACATAAATCGGGGAAATGACACCTTATTCAACAAATCTTGCTGGGATATTTGGCAAGCCACATGTAGGAGAATGAAACCAGATTCTCATCTCTTACTTTACACAAAAGTCAACCCAAGATGGATCAAGGATTTAAATCTAAGACCTAAATCTATAAAAATTCTAGAAGATAACATCAGAAAAAACATTTTAGACATTGGCTTAGACAAAGAATTCATGACCAAGAATTCAAAAGAAAATGCAACATAAACAAAGATAACTAGGTTGGACTTCACTAAACTAAAGAGCTTCTGCACAGCAAAAGGAACTTCCAGCAGAGTAAACAGCCCTCAGAGTGAGAGAAAATCTTCACAACCTATACATTCAACAAAAGACTAATATCCAGAATCTACAAGGAACTCAAACAAATTAGCAACAAAAAATCTAACAATCCCTTCAAAAAGTGGGTTAAACACATGCATAGACAATTCCCAAAATAAAATATACTAAATGGCCAACAAGCATGTGATAAAATGCTCAACATCACTAATGATCAGGAGCAAGCAAATCAAAACCACAATGCTATACCACCTTACACCTGTAAGAATGGCCATTATCAAAAAATTTAAAAAAATAATAGATCTTGGCATGGATGCAGGAAAAGAGGAGCACTTCTACACTGCTGGTGGTAATGTAAACTAGTACGACCACTATGGAAAACAGTGTGGAGATTTCTTAAAAAACTAAAAGTAGAACTACCATTTTATTCAGCAATCCCATGACTGGGTATCTACCCAGAGGAAAAGAAGTCATTATATTAAAAAGATACTTGCACACATATGTTTATAGCAGCACAAGTCACAATTGCAAAAATATGAAACCAGCCCAATTGCCCATCAATAAATGAGTGGATAAAGAAATTTTGGCATGTATGTATGATGGAGTAATACTCAAGTCATAAAAAAGAATGGATTAATGGCATTTACAACAACCTGCATGGAACTGGAGATTATTATTCTAAGTAAAGTAACTCAGAAATGGAAAACCAAACATTGTATGTTCTCACTTATAAGTGGAAGCTAACCTGTGGGGATACAAAGTCATAAGAATGATACAATGGACTTTAGGGACTTGAGGGAAAGGGTGGGAGGAGGGTGAGGCATCATATACTACAAATTGTGTTGTGTATACTGCTCAGGTGATAGGTGCAGCAAAATCTCACAAATCACCACCAAAGAATTTACTCATGTAGTCAAACACCATCTGCTTTCCAAAGACCTATAAAAAGTATATATATATATGTGTGTGTGTGTGTGTGTGTGTGTGTGTGTGTGTGTGTGTGTGTATAGTAAAACAAAAACAAAACACTAAAAAAGTCTTATGTAATATACCGAGTTCAGAAAAAAAAAGACCTGATTAAGGAATAAAGGACTATTTAAGCCACTAAAAAAAAGAAAAGAAAGAAAGCGATGGGTAGAAAGTTTATTGAAAGGGATAATAACAGAGAACTTTCCAAACTTACAGAAATATATCAATATGCATGTAAGAGAAGCTTATAGATCTGGCAGCAGACTTTTATTGAAAACCTCAAAGGCCAGGAGAGATTAGAATAACATGCTTAACGTGCTGAAGGGGAAAAATGTATTTTACCTTAAAATATTATATCTAGTGAAAATATCCATCAAACGTGATGGAGAACTAAAGACTTTCCCAAGCAAACAAAAGCTGAGAGACTTCATCAATACCAGAACCGTCCTTTAAGAGATGCTAAATGGAGTAGTTTAATCAGAAAAAAAAGGACATTAATGAGCAATAAATAATCAACTGAATGTACAAAACCTACTGGTAAAAGTAAGTACACAGAAAAACACAAACTATTATAACACTGTAACTATGGTGTGTAAACTGTTCTTATCTGAAGTAGAAAGACTAAATGATAAACCAATCAAAAATAATAATTACAACAGCTTTTCAAAACATAGTCAATATAATAATAAAAAATAGAAATAACAGAAAGTTAAAAAGCCAAGGGACAAAGTTAAGGTGAGTTTTTGTTATTTTTCTCTTTGTTCGTTTATGCATTTAGTAGTAAGTTGTTATGAGGTTAAAATATTGACTCGTATTTGCAATCCTCATGGTAGCCAAAAAACAAAAACAAAAAAATACGGTAAATACACAAAACAAAAGCAAGAAAATAAATCATATCATCAGAGAAAATCATTTCCACTAGAAGACAGGAATAAAGGAAAAAGTGAAGAGAAAAACAACCAGAAAGCATTAAAATGGCAGGAGTAATAACATTGAATGTAAATGGACTAAATTCTCCAATCAAAAGACAGAGACTGACTGAATGAATTAAAAAAAAGGACTCATTGACCTCTTGCATACAAAAAACACATTTTGCCTATAAAGACACACATAGTTAGATAATAAAGGAATAGAAAAAGACATCTAATGCCAATGGAAACCAAAAAAGAGCAGGAGTCACTATACTTACATTAGAAAAATAAATTTTGAGAGAATAACTATAAAAACAGACACAGAAGGTAACTAATGATAAAGAGGTCAATTTAGCAAGATAATATAACAATTTTAAATATATATGCACCCAACACTGGAGCACCGAGATACATAAAGGAAATATTATTAGAGCTAGAGAGATAGGCCACAATACAATAATAGATAGTGACATCAACACCCCACTTTTCACATTAGCCAGATCCTCCACACTGAAAATCAACAAACGTTAGTATTAATCTGCACTGTAGAACAAATGGATTTAATAGGTATTTACAGAATACTTCATCCAAGAGCTGCAGAATACACATTATTTTCCTCAGCATATGAATTATTCTCAAAAGTAGATCATATATTATGTCCCCAAAAAATCTTAAAACTTTCAAAAAAATTGAAATTATATCAAGCATCTTCTCTGAACATAATGGGATAAAACTAGAGATGAATAACAGGAGAAATTTTGGAAATTTTACAAATGCCTAGAAATTAAACACTACACTTCTGAATGACCAGTGGGCCAGTGAAGATATTAAGAAGAAAAGAGAAACTCTTCTTGAAACAAATAATAATGCAAACACAACATACTAAAACTTATGGAATATAGCAAAAGCAATACTGAGAAGGAAATTTATAGCTATAACTGTCTACATCTAAACAGAGAAAAGCCTTCAAATAATAAGTGTAATAATGCATCTTAAAGAACTAGAAAAGCAAGATGAAAGCACACCCAAAATTAGCAGGAAAAAAAGGAAATTATAAAGATCGAAGCAGAAATAAAATTGGAATGAAAAAATACAAAATGTTAATGAAACAAAAAGTTGTGGGTTTCTTGGAAATTTACACAAAATTGAAAACCTGTAGCCACACAAAGACAAAAAAGATAAAAAAAAAATCAGAAATGAAAGAGGAGAGAGTATAAATGTTACTGTAGACATTCAAAGGATCATTATTGGCTACTATAAGAAACTATATGCCAATAAATTGGAAAATCTAGAATAAATGGACAAATTTCCAGACACACACATCACACCAAGGTTAAATTAAGAAACCCAATATCTGAACAGACCAATAACAAGTAACTACATTGAAGCTGTAATAAAACTCTGCCAGTAATGAAAACCCTAGGACCTGATTTTTATCAAACTGCTGAATTTTATCAAACATTTAGAGAACTAATACCAATCCTACTTAAACTATTCCAAAAAATAGAGGAGAAGGGAATACTTTCAAACTCATTCTATGAGGCCAGTGTTACCCTGATATGAAAACTAGAAAAAGACACATTTTAAAAGGAAAATGACAGGCCAATATTTCTGATGTATATTGATGCAAAAATACTCAACAAAATACTAGCAAAGCAAATTCAACAATACGTTAGAAAGATCATTCATCATGACCAAGTGAGATTTATCCCAGGGATGTAAGGATGGTTCAACATATACAAATCAATAAATGTAATACATATCAACAGAATGAAGGATAAATCTATATGATAATTTCAATTGATGTTGAGAAAGCATTGGATAAAATTCAAAATCCTTTCGTAATAAAAACTCTAAAAAAACTGGGGATGTAAGGAATGTAACTCAACATAATGAAAATCATATATGACAGATTCACAGGTAGTATTATACTTAATAAGGAAAAACTAAAAAACTTTCATATAAGATCTGAAACAAGACAAGAATGTCCATTGTCACCATTGTTATTTTACATAGTGCTGGAAGTTCTAGCTAGAGCAAACATACACAAGAAACATATAAAGGACATCCAAATTGGAAATGAGCAAGTCAAATTTCTTTGTTTTCAGATGATATTATATATGGAAAATTCTGAAGATTCCACAAGAAAACTACTAGAAGTGATAAACACATTCAGTAAAGTTTCAGGATACAAAATCAATGTACAAAACTTGGTAGTATTTCTATATGTCAACAGTGAACAATGTGAAAAAGAAATTTAAAAAGTAATCCCATTTAAAATAAGCACACATAAAATTAAATACCTAGGAATTAATATAACCAAAGAAGTGAAAGATTGTAACTAAAACTATAAAACACTGATGAAAGAAATTGAAGAGGTCACCAAAAAAATGGAGAGATATTCCCTGTTCACGAGTTGAAAGAATCAATCAATATTGTTAAAATGTCCATACTCTATAGATTCAATGCAATCCCTACCAAAATGCCAATGACTTTCTCGCAGAAATAGAGAAAAAAAAAAAACAATTCTAAGATTTATATGGAACCACAAAACACCCAGAAGAACCAAAGGTTTCCTGAGCTAAAAAAAAAAAAAAAAAAAAGAATCACATTACTTGACTTGAAATTATAATGCAAAGCTGTAGTAACCAAAATAGCAAAATAGTACTGGCAAAAAAAACAAAAACAAACAAAAACAAAAACAAAAACAAAACACATAGACCAATACAATAGAACAGAGAACCCAGGAACAAATTCAAACACCTACAGTGAACTCATTTTCAAGAAAGATGCCAAGACATACACTGGGGGAAAAGAGAGTATCTTAATAAATGGCCCTGAAGAAACTGCATATCCACATGCAGAAGAATAAAACTAGACCTCTATATCTTTTTGATTTAACAAAAATTAAATCAAAATGGATTGAAAACGTAAATCGAAGACCTCAAACGATGAAGTTACTTCAGAAGAACATTGGGGAATATCTCCAGGACATTGATCTGAGCAAATTTTCTTGAGCAATACTCCACAAACACAAACAAAGCAAAAGTGAACAAATGGGATCACGTCAAGTGAAAGGGCTTCTGCACAGCAAAGGATACAATCAACAAAATGAAGAGACAACCAAGATAATAGGGGAAAATATTTGCAAATTACACATCTAACAAGGGATGAATAACCAGAATATATAAGAAACTCAAACAACTCTATAGAAAAAAACTAATAATGTGATCAAAAAGTGGGCAAAAGATTTAAATAGTTATTTCTAAAAAGAAGACACACAAATGACAAGCAGGCATTTGAAAAGGTTCTCAACATCATTGATCATCAGAGAAATGCAAATCAAATATACAATGAGATATCATCTCTCCCCAAGTAAAATTGCTTATATCCAAAACAGGCAATAAAAAACGCTGGAGAAGATAGAGAGAAAGGAAACCCTTGTACACTGTTAGTGGGAATGTAAATTAGTACAACCACTATGGAGAACAGTTTAGAGGTTTCTCAAAAAACTAAAAATTGAGCTAACATATGTTCCAGAAATCTCATTTCTGGATACATATGCAAAAGAAAGGAAATCAGTATATCAAAAAGATATCTGCACTCCTATTTTTGTTGCAGCACTGTTTACAATAGCGAAGATTTGGAAGCAACCTGTGTCCATCAAGAGATAAATGGATAAAGAAAATGTGGCATATATATACAATGGAGTACTTATTCAGCCATAAAAAAGAATGAGATCCAGTCATTTGTGAAACATGGGTGGAAGTGGAGATTATTATGTTAACTGAAATAAGGCAGGCACGGAAAAACATATATTGCATGTTCTCACTTATTTCTATAATTATAAATCAAAACAATTGAACTTGCGAATGTAGAGAGTAGAAGAATGGTTACTAGAGGCTGGTAAGAGTAGTGGGGGCCTGTTAGGGGAGGTGGAGATGGTTAATAGTACAAAATGAAACAGAAAGAATGTATGAGCCCTACTATTTGATAGCGCAACAATGTGACCATAGTCAATAATAACTGAACTTTGCATTTTAAAATAATTTAAAAGAGTGTCATTGGATTGATCTCAACTGAATGGATAAATGCTTGAGAGGATGGATATCCAATTCTTTATGATCTGCTTATATCACATTATATGCCTGATATGATATGATATATCAAAATACCTCATCTGCCCCATACATGTATACATGTACTATGCAACCACAAAAATTAAAAATTAAAAAATTAAAAAATATACAAAAATCATCACCACTGAATAACTTTTTTTGTTTTAGACCCTTAATTTTTTTATTGCTAGTGTTTTTTACATGTGTTATATAAAATTATTTATTTGTTTAATATTTTATTTTATTTTATTTTTGAGACGGAGTCTCAGTCTTTCACCCAGGCTGGAGTACAGTGGTGCAATCTCGGCTCACTGAAACCTCTGTTTCCTGGGTTCAAGAGATTCTCCTGCCTCAGTCTACTGAGTAGCTGAGATTACAGGCGCCTGCCACCACGCCCAATTAATGTTGAGTAGAGACAGGGTTTCACCATGTAGGCCAGGCTGGTCTTGAACTCCTGACCTCAGATGATCCACCCGCCTTGGACTCCCAAAGTGGTGCGATTACAGGCATGATTGACCGCACCTGGCTGTGTTTAGCTTTTTAAATATGTCTTCCCTTTTGAATGTAATCTGCATTGTATGTGACTAGCAGAGTTTTTGGCATATAAAAGGCTCTATATATTTGTTGCTCATGACTTAGCTAAAATATTATTACCTCGAGTGACCCTTTTTAAAATTCTCACACACTCTCAATATAAAATTATATTATTTATTGTTTTATTTTCTATTTATTACCACTTGAAAGTACCTTCCATGAGGGAAGGTACATTGTAGTAGTTAATATTTTTGTATGATCAAATAAGTAAATTATTTTTATGAAGGAATGCATGCATGTATGAGCATGTCCTAGGGAAAATAGGAGGTACTATATGTTATCCTATAAAATATGTTTTAAGCCTTCTATATTGTCTCTGATTTATTCTGTTTGGCCTT
Organism: Homo sapiens; assembly: GCF_000001405.40. NCBI lineage: Eukaryota > Metazoa > Chordata > Mammalia > Primates > Hominidae > Homo > Homo sapiens. Next base: position 90,520,493 of record NC_000023.11, read on the forward strand.
TAAATTCATTATAATCAAACTTAATAATAGTTTCCTAAAATAAACCTTTTTGACAATAATTTTTATAATAAGAGTTTTAGTTCTTCAGCGTAAAGCTTCCACACTACTATCTATTGCATTCTGCATTTCAAAGCTTCTGTGTGGCAACAATCACTGCCCTTTATTTGCCACCTTCCTTTCTAGGTAATTTGTATCCTAGTCTGATATTATCATTATATGCCATTTTTTTCTATTTAAGGGTTGCTCAACATTAAATCCTGCTTCTGTTAGTCTATTTATCCTTTCCTTCTCCTACTTATATTGTTGATGACATGGACTACTTTCAAGAGTTTTTACTTACACATAATTGAAATTCATTTGGCCCTTACAAACAACTAAAAAAGTTCTAAATTTCACCGTACAAGTATTATGTACTCTGTTTACTAACGAAAAAATTAAGAACCCATCCTCCAAAATTATTTCAATGTCACACATCCCATGAGAATTCAAGAAAATTCATATCTCCACTTAAGGGCAATTATCAATATACATAATTTCATAATGCTTTGCATCAGTTAAAATGGACTAAAAGTCTTGAAAGTTGGAAGTTATGCTGGGAATTGCAGGCCCTTTTAGTTCAGGAAGATATTTCATGCTGTGGAGCTTTTGATATTCCTCATATTGAGAGGTAACAGCGTGCTGGCAGTCCTCAGAGCCCTCGCTTGCTCTCGGCACCTCCCCTGCCTGGGATCCCACTTTGGCGGCATTTGAGGAGCCCCTCAGCCCCCACTGCACTGTGGGAGCCCCTTTCTGGGCTGGCCAAGGCCAGAGCCCACTCCCTCAGCTTGCAGGGAGGTGTGGAGGGAGAGGCGCGAGTGGGAACCGGGGCTGCGTGCGGTGCTTGCGGGCCAGCTGGAGTTCCGGGTGGGCATGGACTTGGTGGGCCCCGCACTCGGAGCAGCCAGCCAGCCCTGCTGGCCCCGGGCACTGGGGAACTTAGCACCCGGGCCAGTGGCTGCGGAGGGCGTACTGGGTACCCCAGCAGTGCTGGCCCACCGGCGCTGCGCTCGATTTCTCGCCGGGCCTTAGCTGCCTTCCCGCGGGGCAGGGCTCGGGACCTGCAGCCTGCCATGCCTGAGCCTCCCACCCACTCCATGGGCTCCTGTGCGGCCAGAGCCTCCCCGACGAGCACCACCCCCTGCTCCACGGCGCCCAGTCCCATCGACCACCCAAGGGCTGAGGAATGCGAGCGCACGGCGCAGGACTGGCAGGCAGCTCCACCTGCAGCCCCAGTGCGGGATCCACTAGGTGAAGCCAGCTGGGCTCCTGAGTCTGGTGGAGACGTGGAGAGTCTTTATATCTAGCTCAGGGATTGTAAATATACCAATCAGCACCCTGTGTTTAGCTCAAGGTTTGTGAGTGCACCAATCGACACTCTGTATCTAGCTGCTCTGGTGGGGCCTTGGAGAACCTTTGTGTGGAAACTCTGTATCTAACTAATCTGATGGGGATGTGGAGAACCTTTGTATCTAGCTCAGGGATTGTAAACGCACCAATCAGCACCCTGACAAAACAGGCCAGTCGGCTCTACCAATCAGCAGGATGTGGGTGGGGCCAGATAAGAGAATAAAAGCAGGCTGCCCCAGCCAGCGTTGGTAACCTGAAGCCTTGTTCTTTCGCTCTTTGCCATAAATCTTGCTACTGCTCACTCTTTGGGTCCACGCTGCTTTTATGAGCTGTAACACTCACCGCGAAAATCTGCAGCTTCACTCCTGAGCCCAGCGAGACCACGAGCCCACCGGGAGGAATGAACAACTCCAGACGCGCTGCCTTAAGAGCTGTAACGCTCACCGCCAAGGTCTGCAGCTTCACTGCTGAGCCAGCGAGACTACGAACCCACCAGAAGGAAGAAACTCTGAACACATCTGAACATCAGAAGGGACAGACTCCAGACGTGCCACCTTAAGAGCTGTAACACTCACCGCGAGGGTCCGCGGCTTCATTCTTGAAGTCAGTGAGACCAAGAGCCCACCAATTCTGGACACAATATATTTTGGTATTCCTCATATTTGGTGGATTAGAAAATAAGACTAGCCTTTTATAAATGATATGCCTGAAGATTTGTTTTAGGATTTAAATGGTTTCTGGGCACTTTGAGGAAGGTTGGAAACTGTAGAAAAATTTGTCTTTCTTCTAGTTCTTGGCAATAAGTCTCTTTCTCTAAGGAGAAGTTACTTAAAATATTTTGTGCTGTACACCTCTTTGGAATTTGGGTAAATCTCATGGAACTCTTATCAGAATAATGTTTTTGTGAAAGAAAAATAAATTTGGGGATCTAAAAATCACTAAGCTAAAAAAAAAAGCCAAGCTTGGAACTGCTTAGGGCAAACCTGCGTCACGTTTTGTTCAAAGTTACCCCTCTGCTCACTGAGGTAAATGTATATTTGATTACCTCCTTTGGAGAGGCTGATCAGAAACCGTCCCAAAGTGCAATCATTTGTCTCTTGTCTACCTATGACCTGGAAGCCCCGTCCCCATTTCAAGTTTCCTGACTTTACTTCAAGTTGTCCTGCCTTTCCAGACCAAACTGAAAAGTCTGTCTAAAAATGTTCATCTTACATATGTTGATTGATGTCTCATTTCTCCCTAAAGTATATAAAACCAAACTGTGCTCTGATCACCTTGGGAATATGTTGTCAGGATATCCTGAGGCTGTGTCATGGGCAAACATCCTCAACCTTGGCAAAATAAACTTTCTAAATTAACTGAGACCTGCCTCAGATATTCAGAGTTCACATTTTGGTAACCATAAGGGATTCTCAGTGGAGTTGCCTCTGACCTTTGTCATATCTCCTGTTGGTGCTTGGTACCAGCATGAGTTAAATTTATGGCTCAAACCAATAGGACAATTTGCTGAGGTCTGTGAGCACCCCCTCCAGAGAATCCCTTATCTCCCCAAATTTGGTCAACATCTAACATTTATTTTGCTCTACAACTCCTGTTTTTTTTGAGCTTTACTTGCATGCAACAAGGAAGACAAGATTTCCTGCTTCCGTGATGATCAAAAGCAGGTAAATCCTTTATATAGTTTGAGCTCACTCCCAGCAGGGAAGATGAGTTTGAGTTTTTCCTGCTTCTAGGATGAGAGAGAGCAGTCTTCAGCCTGAGACCCATCCTTAGGTAATTAGCTCAATTAGGGTTTTGTCTTGGCTAAAGTTTAACAACCAGCCCAGCTTAACTTCTTCCTACCATTAGAGCACTCAGTGATTATACTGTTGGGTTTTTTGTTGTTGTTGTTTGTTCCAGTCTTTCTCCCATTGGATTTGACCAACTCTTCCCGACTAGGTCAAATTCAAGTGAGAATTCCAAATTATGGGTAACAAAGCCTCTCTAATTTGGCTAAAATGTCTCACAGCTGCAAAATAGGGAAAACAACTCCAAAAAACAAAACAAAACAAAAACCCCATGGACTTGGTTTCTGTGTTTTCTTCCTGTCTTAAAAAAAAAAAAAAGTTATTTTATTTACTTTTCTTTCAGCCTATACCTCCTTTCTCCTTTGCATCTGCAGTACCAAAAAATCTAGAGAAAGTTTCTAATGACTTGAACCCCTTTAAAAAATTCAGAACAAAGACACCACTCATTCCTTTTGGGTGTTCTGTTTTCCTTGTGGAGTTTCAAGAGTCATGGACACATTCTTCTTAGGGCGAAAGCTGTTTTTCTGTGTTGCATGACCTTACCTCTTTGGCTTTGGGGGTACCAGAGATGACTTTGTACTGTGAGAAGATTTGATCTTGGCCTGTGTAATGGCAGATGAGAGCTACAAAGTTAGGGGTAGCTGAGCATAGTATACAGGAATTGGTCTCGGCTATTTTTTTTATTTTAATTTTAAGAAGTTGTAGTTTAAAGATCCTAATTCTAGTTCAGAGATGAATTCTATAAGGTCTTCTCTATTGCTTTTTCTCCCAAAATTAATCCTGATTTGACTTGTCTGCTCATTTGCATGATAAAGTGAACTGCTCTTTTCATAGGCAAATGACAGACTGAGTTTTCTCAGCTCCAGAAAGAAAGAACAGTTTGCTCTTTCTAGCTTAAAGGTATCCCTGGGTGACGAGGGCCTTGTGAGAGTGTCTGGAAGTTGACCTGCTGTGACATGCAGCAGCCCTACAGAAAAATCCCCAACAAAAATTAATTAAAACAAAAAGGCTTATCCAGGGAATGCATGTAAGTGCTGGTCACCTGTTGTTTTGAGCCCTCTCAGAGGTCATATATCTCTGGAGAGAGGCACTGAGACATATTTTAAGAGGTTAAAAATGACTCAGTGGTGACATAATGTGGAGTCCTGCACACAAGCAGCACACATCTACCCACCAGAAAAAAACCCTAGGCCACAGCTCAGTTCCTTCTTTTAAGAAAAAGAAGTGGGAAACGATCTAAGAATGAGGAGAAAGCAAAGTGAATGACCCCCTTGTGAGCACTCTGTAGGTTTTATGGCACCTCTACTTGCCAGAGCTTATGTGAAATGGAAGTAATATGTTCTTTATGCACATTTACATTAAGGAAAACGAGCCCTAAGGATGACCTGCAAACTACAGAGTTCCCAAGTCCTCTTTTTCTCTATTTTTTTTTCTTCTTGCTTTAAAACTGCTATTTTTCTATTAAGATAAAAACTGCTGTTTGGATTTAACAGGTTTTCTTTTTTTTTTTTTTTCATGCTGATGAATTTGTATTTACCTCATGGCTACAGTTCTGAAGTAAAAGTTATAGGATCTTTGTATGTGTGTGTATATGGATGTGTGTTTATATTTAAGAGGCATTTATAATTTCTATAATTTTATGTTCAATTGTCAATTAAGTCCATTTGAATTTCCCTCGAGCACACCAAACTTTTTCTCTCTGTACCTTAGGATGTAAATTTTGCTATTTGATTCTCACCTTAGTTATTTCCTTTAATATGCAAATTTAAGGCTATTCAGCTGAAAATTGTCTAAGGTTTTGGAACTGTTTATCAAAAATTTAAAAGTCTAAGATAGGGAAAAAAATTTTATGAATCTATAAGATGTACTTCTATTGGTATGCCTAATATGTCTATGTATATATGTGTTTTGTACCCAATGTTTTATTACTGAAAATATATAAAGAGCTCTAATTAATTAATTGGCTTAAGAAAATAAAAGTGGTTGAATCAAATACTTTGTCAGGAAAAAAGAAAATACTAGTCGGATGCTTTTTCGAGTTTATGTAACAAGTAAAATCTTTAAGAAATAAGCTAGGTTTAAAATTATTGTTAAAGTAATATTAGAAATGTCTTAATGGCTAGCATACATTTTTGTTTGCATTTTTTAATCAACCATTTTTATACTTATCTCTGCCAAATACTATAAGGTGTTAAAATTTGAAATACGGGTTAAAAAGAATGATTTTTGCTTGTGCAATCTTTAATAAATAATACATTGATATTGGTTTAATGAAAACAGCTGCATCTTGAATTTAATAAGATTACTATAACTTCTAATTCTGTGGCTTTAGGCGGTCTAGTCCACAGGCAGTAAGGTTTGTTTTTGGAATGGACTGTTATCATCTTTGTTTCAAAGCTAAAATATATAATAAGTTTCTTCCAAAGTTAGTTTGGCCTATGATCATGAATGAACAAGGACAGCTTGAAAGTTGGAAGCCAGATGTCTCAGTTATAATTTTGCAATGGCAGTTTCATAAGTTCAGCTTTCATTAATAATTTAGATAATTAAAATAAAATAATTAGATAAATGTAATAAGATAAATACTTGTAGACAAACTGATCATAATTTAGAATCAAAAGCTACATTAAATTAAATGAGAGATATTTCATTGTGTATTTTCCAATAACATTTGTAGAAAAATATTTTTTTCTAAAAAAACTGTGTCTCTTTAGAAAATGTGAGCAATTTTTTTTCTAATTTAAAGCTTATTTTAAGATTATGAAGTAAGGTAGAAGGAACCAGGAGACAGCAGAGATATAAGAAAGTTATAAAAATAGAGAGATAGGGTTTTTTTTCTTTTGATAAGAAAGCTTAAAGAGAAATAATTTTATATGAGAAAGAAATCTTGTATGGTAAATTTAGTATTAGAATAATATGACTGGTTGTTTAAGAAAGAGAGATGTTCAGGACAAACCAGAAATTCCAAGCATGCATGAACAGTCTCTGTAACTCAAAATAGGAGGATTTATATAAAAAATGTAAAATCTTTCATATAGTCAGGTTGTCTATGATTAAAGAGTAATTATAATAGTCTTTCTAGTGATTGGGCTTCATGTAAAAAAACACTTATACACAAAATAATTGGTTAGAACAATAAAATTTTCTTAAGGGATTGATTTATTTGTAATAAATTATGAGAAATTTAATTGTTTTAACTCAAAGTTCAACTTTTATTGTATCTCACCATTTTCAGTTTTCTCTCCCCTTTTAAAGGGTGAGAAATCGTAACACTCTCCAACTGATTTTTCAGCTCATATAAGTTTTTTCCTCAAGTTCCTTTTCTTGTGGCCTGATGCTAACAATATTTTCTTAAAGGTATGAAGAAAATATTTTTTTTTCCAGCATAATATTATGTGCAGTGCAGAAGGTCTTTTCTTTTGCCTTTTGGTAACTGGCCTAATAGATTTTACAATTTATTGAAAAAAGTCCTATGCCATTATTATTAAGTTTTGCTTTGCTTAGGAAAAACAACTGAGATTAAAATTTTTTTAAATAAAATTACAGTTATTACATCCATTTATTTTCCTTTGTGGGCTTTTAAAGTCCTTGTGACACTGAGTTACAATGCTTTGACTCCTGGGTCTAAAAAAGATATCAAGTCCTGCGGAATCTTAAACACTGACAGCAATTGAAGCCTCGTCATCAGGGCTGGTAGAAGATGTTGATCAAAATAAACTGTATTTCTGAGACACAAGGCCAGAAATTAAAGCTATTCAACTCCTCAAGTTCCAAGGACTATCATGGAAGGGGTGGGCATGTGAGATTGTAAGGGCTTGTTTTGAGGGATAAAATAAGTTCAGTTTCTCTATAAATGAATCATGAATGTCAAAGGCACACTAATGCAAGACCAGCATATGGCCCCTGTGTCAGATTAACAAGGTTTTCTAAAAACATTAACCGATTCTTTAATAAAGATTATAAAAGGCTTATGGAAGTTATATCTTAAGGTTAAGATTAAAATTTTATAGATTGTCTGTAAATTTTCAAAAACAAATTTAATTGGCTTTATGCTTTTTTTCATTAGGGCTTACTGTTTGGAAAATTAAGTCTCATTTCTCAAAGAATGAAAGTTTTGCCTTTTTTAAAAAACTCAAGTTATCACTTGTGAAATGATTATCTTATTTTAAAATAACCTATGATATCAAGTGTTTTAAACCTTTGATATTTGACAAACGTTCCAAAACAAAATTATAAACTATGCCTTTTCTGATCTAATTAATCCTTTAAGATATTAGTTTCCCTAAAGTTCAAAAATGACATACTTTTGGCTTACTTGGTATAAAAATTATACAGGAAACATTGCCAAATACGAAATGGTGTTTGGTTTCCTTTTGGCTGTATTTGTATAAATATGTTATTGGCATGTGTTCCAAAATTATGTGAAACTCCTACAATTCTCATATGACTTAGCATTATAACAAATTTCCTTGTCAATTGTGTCTTTCTCTATGGCTGCCCTAAAACTTTTTGTCATCCATGGACAATTGTTGTCTTATTTTGGTCCTCTTTAAAAGGTGGTTATATAATCAGCTATAAAACTCTAACAGGTGCTCTCAGATGCAGGTTTCTGATAACTTTGGAGATTGTGACATCAGAATAGAATAAAAACATTGTCAAATACGAAATGGTGTTTGGTTTATTTTTGGCTGTATTTATATAAATATGTTATTGGTATGTGTTCCAAAATTATGTGAAACTCCTGTAATTCTCATATGACTTAGCATTATCAGTAATAATTATAATTATTGTGTTAAATTATTGTGTGCCTCAGACATAGTAAATGTCCTTGTCAATTGTGTCTTTCACTATGGCTGCCCTAAAACTGAAGTCTTCATGAATATCAAGCAGAACAGAAATTAACTACATGGATTGAACTAATAGAAGACTGAAGTAATGTTTTTGACTTTTTGCTTGAAATGTTGCTGATAGTTGGTTTTGTTTTTTCAGAGTCAAAAGTAACTTTTCTTTGGAGCTATTGACAGATTTTAATGATTTAGTATACTCTTATGAACAAAAGTTAGAACATACTTGTTTCACTCTACCTGACTTCTCCAAAATTTGGAAACTCTTCATGAGTATTCTTAACCTATGGCAATACAGTTATTTGCATAAGTACAGTAAGAATCTGCTTTTATTTATAACAGGCCACAATTGGAAAAACTGGTTATTTTACCAAGGCTTTGACTGAAATGGTGCATTCTCCTTTAAGGAATTGAACTTGTTTTATGGAGCAAATAAAACCCCTTGGGAAAACTGGCCTCATATCTTTGTTTACACAGTTCCTGTACAGGGTTAAAGACCTGTGGTAAGTAAAGAATGTCACTTTCTGACAAGCCCAGGATCCCCCAGTTTATCTTGGAACCTCAAGAGTAGAGGAATTCACCCAAGTCATAGATATTTGACTGTACAAATCCATGGCTGGGCTTGGATTTAAAAAAGTCTTATCTGAGATTGTTCTATAGAACAAAGTTCCATCAAAGCCAATTTAAAGCCTATATAAAAATAATTATTATTGCTGCACTGTATGCAAATAAGCCTAGTATAATAGAGCAAATCAGTACTACCATGATTTTTCTTTAGTAAACATGAGAAACTGGAAAGAGAAAAATTATGTTTCAAAAGCTATAGTACACCTGTTTTTAGATTCAAGTATTGCCTAATGTTTTTCAATTTTTATTACTTTCTACAGTTTGGACTGAATTTTAACTATTCTTGGCTACAAGTCTTCATAATAATGTTTTCAATTATTTCCTTCTTCTTATCCCCATTTTTCCTATTTTGGAATCACTGAAAACTAAGCTATGCTTTCTGAAAGCCCTGAAAACTGAAGCTAGACAGCTTAAACTTCAGAAGAGAATAACAGAAACCTATTTACATGCATAAACCACTTTCATGCCTTCCTACTGATGTATGGACGTCAGAGTAATGTGACCTATATTGATTTTCCAGGATTGTTCTTTTGTTTGTGGTTGTTTTTCTCCCTACCTCTTCTTGTTTTATCTTCAAAGAACATGAGACTTCCCAACCTGCTTAAAAATGAGCTTTCCTAATAACTTGGGATCTACCTGTCTAGGAATAAACACACTAACTACGAGAGATCAGATATAATCTGAGTCCAGAGACTCTTTTCTTCTAAAATGCTTTCTCTGAAACGTTTTTAAAAAGAAAAGGCGGGGTGGCGGGGAGTGGGGGAGGAATGTGAAAGGAAATTAAATCTTGAGGACCCCAAATCACTAAGCTGAAGGGAAAAGTCTAAGTGGAAACTGCTTAGGGCAAACTTGCCTCCCATTCTATTCAAAGTCACCCCTATGCTCACTGAGATAAATGCATATCTGATTGCCACCTTTTGAACAGGTAATCAGAGACTCAAAAAAATGCAACATTTTTTTTTCTTATCTACCTATGGGCTGGAAGCCCCATCTCTGATTTCAGTTTCCCTCCTTTGCTTCGAGTTGTCCTGACTTTCTGGACTGAACCAATGTTCATCTTACATATGTTGATTGATGTCTCATGTCCCCCTATAATGTATAGAACCAAACTGTGCTCTGACTACCTTGGGCAAGTGTTGTCAGGACCTCATGAGATTGTGTCATGGGTACACATCCTTAACCTTGACGAAATAAAGTTTCTAAATTAACCAAGACCTGTCTCAGATATTTGGGTTTCACACATTAAAACAGATGAAATAAAATACACAGATTCATGAAGAAAACAAATTATGTGGGAATATAGTTATGGAAATATTTTTATGGTAATATAGTTATGGAAATAAGAATATATATTATTTGTGTTATCCCATTAATTAACAAGATATACTAGCTGACATCAATTTGGAGTTGTGATAAGTGTAAATGATATTTCATGATCTTTCATGCAGCAAGAGTAATATGATGTAAAAATACTCATGGTTTCTATGGGTAACAAAGTCATAGGACAACTAATTTTGCTGTGATTTGTTGTTTACATCCATAATAGAGGAGAATACTAATGTTCAGGTTAGTGAAGAAATATAGTTTTTTCTACAATCACATTTGCATATTCCTGAATTTCCCCAGATTAAGAACTCCTCTTAAAAAGTTTACACAGTTTGCTCCCAGAAGAACGATTCAATGTATTGCTTTTAATGGCTTTTATAGAAGATAATCTGTAGAAAAATGAAAAAGGCCACTGTGACATAACTATTGTGATATAGTGTCTCTGATTTTCTATATAGTATCAGTTTGATTTCCTTGAGGATATGAAGGATCTACTAAGCAGGAAACTTGGCATTATTAATGTGAGGTAATTAAATTCTTAATCAACCTAACTTCCTTATTTCCTAGAAACACAAATTATGCCCAAGGATGCAAACACCAGGAAGCTGTCATAAAATTCTGTATTGAATTTACAGAATAAATATTCTAATTTCTGGCAAATCATATATGAATAAGTTTTTTGTTTAAGCAAAACAAAGAAATACAACGTTTGCATTTTTAAACAGAAACGCTAGTAAAAATTGTCAAATATTATTTAATATCCAGAGAATGTTTCCAATTAACAGTCAGTAACACTCCACTAAGCTCCCAAATCAGTCATCTTAAATTCTATAACCAGAAAACTTAGTGCATAGGAAAACCAGCACATGACACAAGGCTTACTATAGTGCCTTTATGACTTATATGTATGTTTATCTAAATTTATAAAATCTTCTTCATAAATAAAATTTATGAACTTAGGAAAGATGTACATAAATTTTAACTAATTTATCCTACTTAATAGAATCCTGGTGAAATACAACAGAGGTATTACTGGCCTTCACCATGAACTGGTGACAAGGGATTAATGACAAGAACACATATGAAGCTCAAACAAGTCTACAGGAAGTAATGTAATAATCTGATCAAAATAGGCAAAAGATTTGAATTGGCTTTTTCTCAAAAGAAGACATATAAATGGCAAACATGCATATGAAAATGAAATGCAAATCAAAAGTACAATGAAATATCATTTCACCTCTGTTAAAATGGCTTACATCCAAAAGACAGGCAATAACAAATGCTGACAAGGATGTGGAGAAAAGGGAACCCTTTTACGCTGTTCTTGGGAATGTAAAGTATCACAACCATTATGGAGAACAGTTTGGAGGCTCCCCAAAAATCTAAAACTAGAGCTACCATATTATTCACCCATCCCACTGCTTGGTATATACCTAAAATAAGAAAATTAATATATTGAACAGATATCTGCACTGCCATGTTTGTTGCAACACTGTTAGCCAAAAGTTGGAAGCAACCAAAGTGTCCATCAACACATGAATGGATAGAAAATTGTAGTACTTACACACAAATGAGTAGCATTCAGCCACAAAGAAAAAGATTCTGTCACTTGCAACAACATGGACAGAACTGGAGGTCATTATACTAAGTGAAATAAGCCAGGCGCAGAAAGACAAACTTTGTAAGTTCTCACTTATTTGTGGTATCTAAAAACCAAAATAATTGAAGTCATAGATATAGAGAGTAGAAGGATGGTTACCAGAGGCCGGATAGCATAGTGGGGAATTGGAGAGGTTGTGGGTGATGATTAAAGGGTACAAAAAATAGTTAGAAAGAAGGAATAAGACCTATTATTTGGTAGCACAATTGGGTGACTATAGACAGTAATACAACAATAATTTAGTTGTACATTTTAAAATAACTAAAAGAGTATAATTTGTATTGTTTGTAACACAAAGGATAAATGCTTGAGTGGATGGTATCCCATTCTCCATAATGTGATTATTATGCACTGCATGCCTGTATCAAAACACCTCATATACTCCATAAATATATACAACAACAATACCCACAAAAGTTAAAAATTAAAAAAGAATATGCTGAAACAACTGATAAAAGTTCCATCAGTTGTATACATTTGTCTCAATTCTATATGCAGTAGTCCTTGATTTGGTTCACTTGAAGTGATATTTTGGTAATCGTTGAAGATTTAGTAGTTTTCTAAAGTCTTAATTTCAACTACTTTAAATATTGTAAAGGACAGATGCCTGAAGCCAAATAAGTCTCTATATTGGTACTCAATCAACGGTGACTACTCTCTTGAGCTAATCGTATTTACCATTTCTGGAATATTTCAGATTGCCCACCAATAGATTTCCTCTGAATGTTTTCTTTATTTTTCTCTGTGTCCTTACAATCAGTCACTTTCATGTAGATAACCAGAGCTTTAGTTTGTTTCAAGAAGTTGAGACAGCTTAACTAATTAGTTATACCTGGTAGATGTAGATGTATTATACCTGATAGAAATGACTACTCATATGACATCTAGGCAGAGTGTAGGACTACTTTAAGTTAAGCTAACATTATCTATGTTGAGAAATGGGAAAAAAATCCATTAGGTCTGCTTGAGTTGTAAAGAGGCACAAGCAGTGCAGGAGATGGAAGTTGTGAGCAAGTATTGAGTGAGTGTGCACATGTCATATAGAACTGCCCTAAAGGCAGTTCAGGGAATAGAAGTGATTTCCTTGTAGAGGCTTGAATAACACAGGACAGAAAAGTGCTATTCCCCTGATATTATTTAATAACATATTAATATTTCATATTTGAGGCCGATATTTAGTGCCATTCATCAGCTTCAAAAGCAATCTATAAAGGAAACCACATAAATCAATATAAGATTTGGAGCAGAATTAAATAAAAGAGAAGTTAAATAAAGGACATTGGGAGATAAAAGGGAGAAGAAGAGTCAATGGTGGTATTTTTGTTTTGCTTTCTGCACACATTAAATGAGAATAAGTGTATTGAGGGAGCTGTGGTAGAATAAGGTTAGGCATGGCCTTGTAAAGTCTTTGTAGTAAAGTTATATTTTACACATGATTAAAAGTAGATACACAGAGAGAGTATGTGTTGGAAATCTAATTAATTTCTAAATAAGTGTATTATGTTTATTACATATAGGCTGAATTAGGCTGATTTCCTATATAATTAGTCTTATTGAAGAGGTTTATTTGTTGTTGTCTTAATTTTTATGAGTAAATAACTGACATGATTGTCAACTCATGTACAGAAATGAGACTGACACTTGAAAATGCATCAATAAAAGATAACCCGTAACATTTGAAAATCATAGCTGGTGGTTCTACTAAGTGGATATAAGATAGATTTTCTTCAGAAATGTGCTCATCCCATAAATCCATAAATGAGAAAGGAAGTTTGGATTGAACAATACAGTTATTTACAAAGAATGTTGCACAAGTAGGATTGTGTTAAATTGTCAAATATTTTTCATATGGGGACTGTATTAGTCAGGGTTCTCCAGAGAAGCAGAAACAACAGAATACATACATACATATATACATACATACAAGTGGGGATTTATTGTGAGAATTGGCTCCTGTGATCACGGAAGCCAAGAATTTCCTCTATGCCATCTTCAAGCTGGAGAATCAGAAAAGCCAATGGTATAATTTAGTCTGAGTCCAAACATATGAGAACCAGGGGAGGAGATAATATCACTCTCAGTCCAAGGCCAAAGGCCTGAGAACCAAGAAGAGGCAGCACTAATATGTCCCACAGTCTGAAGGTCCAAGAACCAGCAGTTTCAATGCCCAAGGGCAGCAGAAGATAGCTATTCCAGCTCAAGGAAAATGAGAGTGAACTCACTCTTCTTCTGCCTTTTTATTCTATTTGAGCCTCAGTGGACTGGATGATGCCCATTCAAATTGGCAATGGTGGATCATCTTTATTCAGCATACTCACTCAAATACCAGTCTCTTCTGGAAAAAGCTTCACAAACATACACAAAAATAATATTTTACTAGCTATCTGGATGTTCATTAAGACAGTCAAGTTGACGCATAAAATTACCCATCACAGGAACAAAGATACATTTGCTTGACAATAGGGCTGGTACATATGAGCTGTGAGGTAGTTTAAGAAGTAATTAAAATGTAGAAGGCCATCTTGAACAATTTTTATTTAAAGAAAGACTGCTTTCTGAGATAATACAGATTGTACAATTCATTATAAGAAATAAGATATTTAAGACATTTGCCAAAGATAAGGTCATAAAACAAAAATCATGTTATCATGACTAAGCCAATGCTGAAAACCAAAGAAGAAAGAGAATCTGACATAACTGAGCTAGCAGCATTTGACTAAAGGAATGTGAGAAAAAATATTGAGTATGTAAAATAATACAGAAAACAGCATAAGAGAGTTTTATCAAGACATGCTTTAAACAATGATGAAGGGAAAATAAGAGATTAACAATTAATTAATTAAGCATAAGTTATGAGAAAAAAATAGAAATGAACCAGAACCTATAGCTAAGGAAGAAAAAAGAAAAGAAAAAATATAATTTTTGCAAGGCGAAGAAGATGAGCTGCTATTGCTTTGAAAAAAAATGTTATTTTTAAGTTCCAAGGAAAGCAGCAAGTTAAAAAGAGAAACGCATAAGCCATTAAAGAACAAGAAAACAAAACTAACTTCAGCTTTGTCTTGCACATTTCTGAGAAGGTCATCAAGTAGCAAAATCTTAGAGAAAGAGGAGTAGCATAGAACCTTGTTTAAATAGTTAAAAGAAAAACAAGATACATAAAAAATTAATAGATGTTCTTACAGATTTGTTTGCATCAAACATTAAAAGAGTATTTATGTAGTCAATAAAATTGATGTTATGCCAAAGACTGCAAAAGCAATTGTTACAAAAGCAAAAATTGACAAATGAGACCTAATTGAAGCTCTTCAGAGCTTCTGCACAGCAAAAGAAACTATCAACAGAGTAAACAGACAACCTACAGAATGAGAAAAAATATTTGCAAACTATGCATCCAACAAAGGTCTAATATCCAGAATCTATAAGTAACTTAAACAAATCAACAAGCAAAAATCAAACAATCCCATTTTTTAAAATTGGGCTGAAGATTTGAACAAACACTTCTCAAAAGAAGACATACATGTGGCCAAAAAGCATATGAAAAAATGCTCAGCATCACTAATTATTAGCAAATTGCTTATTAAAACCCCAATAATTTACAATCTCACACCAGTCAGAATGGCTATTACTACAAAGTAAGAAACAAAACAAAACAAAACAAAAAAAGATGCTGGTGAGATTGTGGAGAAAAGAGAACCCTTATACACTGCTGGCGAGAATGCAAATTAGTTCAGCCACTGTTGAAAGAAGTCTGAGGATTTCTCAACGAACTTAAACAGAACTACCATTCAATGCAGCAATCCCATTCCTGGATATATACCCGAAGGAATATAAATCTTTCTACTATAAATAACCATGCATGTATATGTTCATTGCAGCACTATTCACAATAGCAAAGACATGGAGTTAACCTAAATACCCATCAACAGTGGCATGGATAAAAAAAACTGTGGTACATATACACAGTGGAATCCTATGTAGCTATAAGAAAAAATAAAATCATGTCCTTTGTATCAATATGAAGGTAATTGGAGGCAATTGTTCTAATCAAATTAACACAGAACCACAATATCTAATACTGCATATTTTGACTTATAAGTAGGAGCTAAATATTGAGTATATATGGACACAAAGGAAAAAACAATAGATACCGGGGCCTACTTGAGGGTGGAGGGTAGGAGGAAGGTGAGGGTCATAAGACTCCCTATCGGGTGATGTGCTCATTACCCAAGTAGTAAAATAATCTGTACATTAAACCCTTGCAACATGCAATTAACCCATGTAATATACCTGCACAGGTACCCTCTGAACTTACAATAAAAGTTGGAGAGAAAAACAAAGTTAAAAAATAAATAAAGGTGATGTTATGGGAAAAGAAAAACATATAGAGAGTAAAAGTGCAACAAATCCGTGTGTACTATAGGATCTTTGTAAAAAATATAAAGTTGATTCTTATTATTCACTGTAGTTTTGTTCTGTAAAGTTGCTGTGAACATTTAATTAGTAAATACTGATCCATTTCTCCTAGGGGAAATAAATGGGTTTCTTTGAGCCTCTGGTCACAACATATTTGTTAACAAGTCAATATATAGCATTGTTTTATGTGTGTTTTTGTTTAAAGACAGCTTATTTAATATATACTGTTGATGTATTGACATTGAACTCATGGCCAGCAGCGTTATGACTCATGCCTGAATTAAAGTTTTCTAACACAGGTATTTTCTCCACGAGGTGAAAATACACATCACAGCCTTCTTGCACTTAGGAACTGTAAATGTCACCTTATTACTGTGCTTGGGGATCATTTTAGACAGTGAAATCACGTATAAAAAGCACAACATTGAAAAAAAATACGGCACTAAATCGACCGTGAACGTATGCTTGTTTACAGTAGGAGAGCTGAAACAACAAGGTAGTGTCTCATTGTTTGACCTTAGCTAAGAATATGTGCATGAAGTGATGAAATTTTTTTTCACTGCTCTGTGCATATCCTTCAATGACAGTAAAAGTGCTGTATTAATTTGGGTATAACAAGTTTTAGTTAGTAGCCAAAATGGCAAATATGGAACTTACAAATAATTAAGACTGTTATCTCTATGTTTCTATATCTTTATCTCTATACTGCTATTTCAGTGTCATCTCTCTATTTATTTATCCTTTTTGAGAGAGAGAAAGGGGAGGAGAAAGAGGGAGAGACTGGAAAAACGTATTCAAAAATACTAACTATTTTTCTTGGAGAAAAGCTTATGAGTAGTTCCCATTTTCTTTTTCTTTCCTACCACTTCTAGTTAGTCTAGAGTGAATGTGTATTGCTTTTTCTTTTTGGAAGAAATGGGGTCTTGCTATGTTGCCAAGGCTAGTCTCGAACTCCTGGCCTTGAGCAATCCTCCTGTCTTTGCCTCTCAAAGTGCTGGGATTACAGTCAGGACCAAGCATTACCAGCCTTTTATTGCTTTTATAACAAGTATTCTGAGAAGTTATTTTATTTTGTAAAGAAAAGCATTATTAATTTTATAAGTAACACAATATTAAAAGAAAGTAATGAAGCTATAATTAAATTCAGATAGATAGAAGAATGCGTAATTGAAATTAGAAAAAAATAGTGCACACAGAATTAAATATAGATAGGTACAGCCATAGTTTATGAGACTCTAGAGGAGAAACTAAAAGAAAAAGAAGAACAAAAGAAAATAAGAATTTAGATTCATCACATTTGTGAAAAGAATTGGTTGCTAATAGCTGTGTATGGGGTGTCGGTTATCATTTGAAAAGCTGAAATTACAAAATGTAAGCTTATTTCTATAATTCAAGAAATGTTTATTATGATGCTTCCTGGGAAAGAGAATATTGCCATTTATGCTGGGGAACTTTGTGATATAATATAAATTGGTGTGTGTTGTTGTTTCTCTTCCTTTGGTACTGTGAATGTTGTTCTCTGTAATAGTATAAAATGGGTTTAGTCCAGATAAGAAGTTGAAGCAATAAAGCATGATTTTATTCAGACTCTTTAATGTTTTATTATTTTTAATTTAATATACTAATATTAAATATTTTATTAGCTACACTAATAAAGACAGCATGATAAGTGTCAGAGTAAGTATAGACGTAAAAAACAATGGAATGGAATGTTATCGGTGTAACAATTATGACTTCACCAGAGAGAAAAACCCTTGAGATAGTCAAAGTTCTGTTATGCTTTACCTGGTTATAAACCATACTTCAACAGAGCTATAATTTGGATAGGCCGTTTAGTTTTTAATTATCAAAAATATTCAATTTATAATAGATAACTTTTTATTCATTAAAATTACTGCTTTAAATTTTACAATGATCTGATTTATAACTAATAACAAATTGAGCTTATGACTAATTTAGTGGTATTGGTAAATATAATTGAGCATCTTTATTTAAAGATAAGTTCATAACCAGTTCTTCCGATTGGTATTTTGCATTATAATTACTCAAATAACATTTAACCATTGCTTCCGTATCCTCGCCAAGAGCTACAGTCAATGTTTCTCCCATTTTTATTTAGCACAGATGAAACGTGACACATAATCCATATTATTAATTCCAGACTGAATCCCTGGAAAATGTTACACTTGATTTCCCCCTGAAGAGTACCCAGAAGAGCCATAGTGTTCAAAGTCACACTTATGATTAATGTACTAAACATTTTAATATGTTACATGGGCTGAATATTTAGTATTATCAGTGTGCCTTCAGGAAAAAAAAAACCTCTTTAAAAGTGAAAATTTCAATTAATTAAACCATGAATTTTTTCTCCAACAGACCAAACCTCCTACTAAAATGTGTTTTTTATTGAGGTAAGTAAATCAAATGGTCTGATAGGAGTACTGTGGAAATTCCATTAAAATAATTACAATATTCACCGAACTCTCATTTCTTCATCTGCATTTTGAATATCTCCTTGCAATACATCTTCGGGTTGCCTATATTCAAGTTCCTGCTTGGCCCATCACAAACTAAGTAACCTTTATCGAGTTAACATCTCTGACATCTATTTCTTCATCTGCAAAATGAGAATGATAAGAGTTCTTATGTACTATGTTGTGTCCACTCCCAAATTCATGTTTGAATTTCTAACCCTCAATTAATGGTCGTTGGAGAAGAGGCCTTTGGGAGATAATTAGGTTTAGGTGAGGTCATGAGAGTGAGGCAAATTTGTGCCTTTATCAAAAGGGACATCAGAGAATTCTCTCTCACACACACACACACACAATCACCACCCCGTCTCTTTTTTTCTCTCTCTACCATATGATGACAGAGAGAGAAGGTAGCCAGCTGGAAGCCAGGGAGAGAGCCCTCATTAGAATCCAACCATACTGTCATAATTATCTCATACTTCTAGTCCCCAGTATTATAATAAATTAATTTTCTGTTGCTTAGCTATCCAATTGATGATATTTTGTTATGGAAGCCTGAGCTGGCTAAAGAGTATCCAATTTTTAGGGTTGTAATGAAAATTAAATGAGAAAAAATATATAAAACACGTAGTCCTTACTTCATATATAGTAAATGCATAGTAAAGATTATTTTCTAATACTATGACTAATTATTTTTGTTATTATTACCACTTGTATTGCATATATCAGCTCAGTATGAATTTATCCACTACTTGCTGAATAATCCCTGAATGAAGAGACAATATAGTGCAATATTTGACAATGTGTGCTCTAAATCACACTTTGTTTTAATCAAGCTCACTCAGTATTTATTAGCTGAGGGATGTCAGCAAGTAATTTAACCAGTCTGATGCTCAATTTTTCTCATTTGTAAAATTGTGATGTTAATCCTAATTATAATATGGGATTGTTGAGAATCATGTATTTTGAAAGAATCCAGAACATTTTTAATCAGTAATCAATCAAATAAAAAACTAGAGCCTGGCCGGGCGCAGTGGCTCACGCCTGTAATCCCAGCACTTTGGGAGGCCGAGGCGGGTGGATCACGAGGTCAGGAGATCGAGACCATCCTGGCTAACATGGTGAAACCCCCGTTTCTACTAAAAAAAAATACAAAAAATTCGCCGGGCGTGGTGGCGGGTGCCCGTAGTCCCAGCTACGCGGGAGGCTGAAGCAGGAGAATGGCGTGAACCCGGGAGGTGGAGCTTGCAGTGAGCGGAGATGCGCCACTGCACTCCAGCCTGGGCAGCAGAGAGAGACTCCGTCTCAAAAAATAAATAAATAAATAAATAAAATAAAATAAAAATGAAAAAATAAAAAACTAGAGCCGAAATATGAGTCTTTAGGAAATCTTAAATGGGTAAAAAAATATAAGAAAAAGTGACTCTAAAGTGCTGCGTCATCAAGATAATCTACTGAGATGTGAAAAAAATGAGAAGTTATTATTCATCTTCATGCAAACAATCAGGAACTAAATAGCCTTTACTAATATATTCTATACTAAGTAATATTAATATTCTCACTGGTTCTGTCAGAGTAACATGTAGCACCTGATTCTCACAGCACACTGAGGGCAGAATTACAGCTCCGTGAGACAGAGGAAGTCATAAAGGCAATTTTTTCCCTTATATCATATTGTAAAATCAGTCAAATTAATTTGCCTATTTGAGTGGAGTTACCAGTTATAATACCTTGTTTTAATTAAAGGCACCCTTACAAAACAGAAAAGTGTATTTAAAACGTTGCTACAATGTAACCATGTATTGAAGATACTATATATAGAATAAGAAAATAGCAAGGGAATAGCAGAGCTGAAATATGTACTAATACTATGATGTTTAGTAAGCCTTGTAACAGAGAAAAATAATAATTATTTAATCGGATTTGTTATGTTCATTGATATTGTTGTCACTAGATTTGTTATTGTTATAAGAGGCATACCTCCGAGATAGTGCAGGTTGGTTTCCAGATGACCACAATGAAGTGAATATCACAATAAATGGAGTCGCACATTTTTTGTTTCCCAGTGCACACAAATGTTTTGTTTACACTGTGCTGTAATCTATTAAGTCTGCCACAGAATTGTGTAAATAAACAACGTACATACCTTAATTTAAAAATACATTATTGCTAAAATATGCTAATGATAATTTGAGCCTTCAGCAAATCATAATCCTTTTGTTGGTGAAGAGTCTTGCTGTGATGTTGATGGCTGCTGAGTAATCAGGATATTGGTCCCTGAAGATTGGGAAGGCTGTGGCAATTTCTTAAAATAAGGCAACAGTGAAGTTTGCAGCATTGATTAACTCTTTCTTTCATGGGTGATTTCTCTGTAGTACGTGATGTCTTTTTATCTGCAATAGAGTTTCTTTTACAATTGAAGTCAATCCTCTCAAACCCTGCCATTGCTTTATCAACTAAGCTTACGTAATATTACAAATCCTTTATTGTTATTTCAGCTTTGTTGATTGCATCTTCATAAGGAACAGATTCCCTTTCAAGAAACCACTTTCTTTGCTCATCCATAGGAAACAACTACTCATTCACTCACGTATTTCACAAGATTTCTGAAACTTAGTTATAGCTTCAGGCTCCATTATTGTAGTTATCTTAGTATTTCCACCATATCTGCAGTTACTTTTCTCACTGAAGGCCTGAATACATCAAAGTCAGCCATGAGGGATGGAATCAACTTTTTTCCAAATTCTTGTCAGTGTTCATATTTCAGCCTTCTCTGATGAATCACAAATGTTCTAGCATCTAGAATGATGAATCCTTTCTAGGAAATTTTCAATTTCCTTTGCCCAGATCTGTCAGAGGAATCGCTGTCTATGGCAGCTATAGCCTTACAAAATGTACATCTTAAATATAAAATTTGAATGTCAAAATTATACCTTGATCCATGGGCTGCAGGATGGATGTTGTATTAGTAGGCATGAAAACATGTTTAATCTACTGTATATTTCCATCAGAGCCCTTGGGTAACCAGATGCATTTCAATGAGCAGTAATATTCTGAAAGGAATCTTTTTTTTTTAGCAGTAGGTACAAACAGTGGGCTTAAATTATTCAAGAAACCATGCTGTACACAGTTCGGTTGTCATCTGGACCTTGTTGTCCCATTTACAGAGCACAGGCAGAGTCAATTTAGCATAATTCTTAAGGGCGCTAGGATTTTCATAACAGCTAATTGTATTGCTGCATATTGCTAATATTCAATTTACGCTCATTAAGCTCACCTTAACCTCAGTGAGGTTTCAACAGAAAGTCATCAGCTGCATCAGTCCTTAATAGGAGAGATAGCCTGTCCTTTGAAGTTTTGAAGCCAGTCATTCACTTCTCCTCTCTAGCTATGAAAGACCTAGAGGATATCTTATTCGAATAGACAGTGTTTTGTGTCTGTTGAAAAATCTGGCTTTGTTTTGTTAGGGCCTTATCTGTATCTTTCTTCATATCAGCAAAAAAGCTGTTTCCCTTTTCTATCATTTATGTGTTCACTAGAATAGCACTTTTAATTTTCTTCAATGGCTTTTCTTTTGCATTCGCAACTTGGCTGTTTGGTAAAAGAGGCCTAGATTTCAGCCTGTCTTGGCTTTGGACATGCCTTCCTCACTAAGCTTAAATATTTCTGGCTTTTTATTTAAAGTAAGAGATTTGTGAATCTTCTTTTAAACTTTAATACTTAGAGGCCATTGTAGGATTATTAGTTGACATAATTTCAATATTTTTGTGTATCAGGAAACAGGGATGCCTGAGAAGAAGGAGAGAGATGAGGGAAATTTCAGTCAATGAAGCAGTCAGAACACCTATATTTATCAATTAAGTTTGCCATTTTATATGGGCGTGGTTCATGGTACCTCCAAATAATTTAATTAGTAACATCAAAGATCACTAATCACAGATCACCATAACATATATAGTGATAATGCAAATGTTTGACATATTATCAGAATCACCAAAATGTGACCCAGAGACAGAAAGTGAGTACAGGCTATTGGAAAAATAATGCCAATAGATTTGTTGAATGCATGGTTGCCACAAACCTTCTATTTGCAAAAAACAAGAGATCCATGAAGAGTAATAAAGCAAAGTGTAATAAGACAAGATATGCCTGTATATGTATGGTGCAATCACTATATGTTATTGCTACTGTTTTTGCTCATTATATTACTGCATGTTGCTAATATTTTCAATATCAGCAAAGATATTGTGTCATTGATTTTCTCATACTTTTTCTATCTTTCAAACATTATAATATATAGTAATATACAGTAGAGTAGATCATGAGTATGAGTTAGTTATATATATACATATATACATACAGACATATATAAGACTGCTTGCTAACTTTTAAAATAATGTAACATTATGAAGTTTGATGAATATTACCTTAAAGGCCAATAATTTATTTAATCAGGATATTCCTACACAAGGTTATTTAAATCTCATACACTAATTAATTTGGAAAGATATAAAATTGATCTTTTATTAAATTGTATTTTAATGAATGCGAACTGTGATGTTGGAACACATCCTCAAATTATCTTAAAAGCTGCACAAACTTCCAGTTTCTGGTGTTGCATATAAGCATCTCAGAAGTTACCACTCCATCTAAAAATAAAAAGCTGAACAGACTGGAAGATCAGCAATTAAGCACATAGTTGAACTTAACAGTACCATCAATCAAGCAAATATAATTAATATTTATAGTGTACTTCATCCAATAGCAGCAAAATACACATTCTTCTCAAGCTCACATATAAAAGTCACCAGCAGAGGTCATATTTTAGACTATAAAATATGCCTTAATGAATTGAAAGTAATAGAAATTATACAAAGTATGCTCTCAGGCAACAATAGAACTAAACTAGATATTAATTGTAGAGAGATAACTGGAAAATTCCAAAATCTCTAGAGATTAAACAAGACAATAATATATGGGCCACAGAATAAATCTCAAGATAATTTAAAATATTTTGTACTAAATGAAAATAAATATACAACTTATGAGAACTGTGGAATGTAGCAAAAGAGTTTTTGCATTGGAAAATTTTAGCATTTAATGCATATATTAGAAAAGAAGAAAGATCTAAAATGAACTTTCTAAGTTTACAACTTAGGAAACTAGAAAAATATGAGCAAATTAAATTCAAAGTAAGATGAAAAGAAAATTAGAATTAGAGCAGAAATATAATGAAAAACAAAATCAATAGAGAAAATCAATACAACTAAAAGGTGGTTCTTTGAAAAAGTTAACATAATTGATAAATCTTAACCTAGTGTAACTAAAATAAAGGACACAAATTATTACTATCAGAACTAAAAGAGGGAACATCATTCCAATCCTATATACTAAAAGTATAATAACTCTATGCCTACACACAACCTAGAAGAAAGAGATAAATTCCTTGAAAGATAATGTGCCTAAACTCATACAAGAAAAAATAGAAAATCTGAAACAAACAACTCAATTTAAAAATGTGTTTTTATCTATTAAAAAAATTGAGGCCGGGCGCGGTGGCTCACGCCTGTAATCCCAGCACTTCAGGAGGCCAATGCGAGCGGATCACCTGAGGTCGGGAGTTTGAGACCAGCCTGACCAACATGGTGAAACCTCGTCTCTACTAAAATACAAAAAATTAGCCGGGCATGGTGGCGTGTGCCTGTAGTCCCAGCTACTTGTGAGGCTGAGGCAGGAGAATCACTTGAACCCGGGAGGCGGAGGCTGCAGTGAGCCAATATCTCACCACTGTACTCCAGCCTGGTGACAGAGCAAGATGCCGTCTCAAAAAAAAAAAAAAAGAAAAAAAAGAAAAAGAAAAAAAAAAGTTGAATCAATAATTACTGACTTACCAAAACAGAAAGCAGCAGGCCAGATGAATTCACTGTTGAATTTTACCGAACATCTAAGGAAGAAATTGTAACAATTCTCTAGAGTTGATTTCAGAAAAAGGAAGAGAGTTAATACCTCCTAACTGAGTCTATCAGGTCAGCGTTGTCTGACAAAGACCAGACGAAGAGATAACATGAAACAAAAACTGCAGACCAGTATCTTTTACAAATCAAACCCAACAATGTATATAAAGAATTATATGACATGAAAAAGTATGATTTATCCCAGGTATGCAAAGTTGGTTCAACATTTTAAAATCAATTAATAAAATACTTTACATCCACAAGATAATTTTTAAGGTAAAAAATATTTAAAATTGTTTAAAAATTTACATGAATATAACTATAGATGCAGAAAAAAATATTTGACAAAACTGTAAAGACTACTTTTGCTTCATAAATGCTGAAAGCTCTCAGTGAAGAAAGAATAGTCGGGAACTTCCCACAATCCTTTAAAGAATATATACAAAAATATCTCTATAGCTAGCATTATACTTAATGATGAGAAACTCAAAACTTTTTCAGTAAGATCAGAAACAAGGAAAGGATGTCCTCTCTCACTACTCCTTTTCAGCATTATATTGGAAGTATTAGTGAATGTAGTAAGACAAGAAAATAAAATAAAATATTTATAAATTTAGAAGGAAGTCCTTGTTCCCAGATTACATGAACATCTATGTAGAAAACCTGAAAAGTTTAACAAAAAATAAACAATTATAGTAAACAATATAACTAATAAACAACTATAGTAATGTTCCAAGATGTAAGGTTAATATACAAAAGTCAATCACTTTTGTATATACCATTAATGAACAAATAGAATTTACAATGAAACACACAGTGCCATTGACATTAGTACACAAAAAAACTAAAATATTTAGGTAGAAATCTAATAAAATATAGATAAAATTTATATGATGAAAACTATAAAACTCTTTTGAATGGAATTAAAGAAGAGCTAAGTAAATAGAGAGGTAGTCTGTGATACGGTTCGGCTCTGTATCCCCACATAAATTTCAACTAAAATTGTAATCCCCAGGCATCAAGGGAGGGACCTGGTGGCAGGTGATTTGATCATAAGGGTGGTTTTCACCATGCTGTTCTTATGATAGTGGGTGAGTTCTCATGAAATCTGATGGCTTTATGTGTTTGATAGTTTCTCCTACATACAAACACACACACACACACACACACACACACACACACACACACACACTCTCTCTCTCTCACCTGCCACCTTGTAAGATGTGACTGCTTCCTTTTCCACCATGATTGTAAATTTCCTGAGGCCTCCCAAGCTATGCAGAACTATGAGTAAATTAAACCTCCTTTCTTTCTAAATTACCCAGTATTGGCTAGTTCTTTATAGCAGTGTGAGAATGAACAAATACTGTCTGAGATCATGGATAGAAAGACTCAGTATTGTCAACATGTCAGTTCTTCTCAATTTGATCTAGAAATTAAATGCAATACCAATAAAAATCTCAGCAGCTCTTTTTGTGAATATTAACAAAATGTTTGCAAAGTTCATATGAAGAGGCAAAAGATCTAGAATAGCCAACACAATATTGAAGAAAAATAATAAAGTTGGAAGACTGACACTACCTGACTTAAAGACATACTATACAGCTACCATAAAAAAGAAAGTATGGTATTGACAAAATAATAGACAAAAAGATTTATAGAAAAGAGTAGAAAGCCCAGAAGTATATCTACATAATATTTAGTCAACCCATCTTTGGCAAAGTGGCCAAGACAATACAACAGGGCAAAAATAGTCTTTTCAATAAATAAGTAATGCTGAATTACCTGGACATTGGACATTCTTATGCAAAAGAAAAATATATAATCTAGACATTGACCTGACACCTTTAAAAAATTACCTTAAAATGGATTACAGACCTAAATATAAAATGCAAAACTATTAGAATTTTAGAAGATAACATGGGAGAAAACTTACTTGACCTTGGGTATGCTGATAGCTTATTACATACAACACAAGAGGCATGATTGAGGAAATAAATAATTAAAGGGAAGATTTTTTTCAAATCAAAAAACTTCTCCTTTGCAAAAGACAATGTTAAGAAAATGAGAAAACAAGCCTCAGACAGAGAAAAATATTTGCAAAAGACACATCTGATAAAGAAACGTTATCTAATGTATACAAACAACCCTTGAAATTCAACAATAAGAAAACAACCCAATTAAAAAGTAAGACAAAGATCTGAACACATACCACAACAAAGAAAATATACAGTTGGTCAATAATCATATGAAAGATGCTCTACTATGTCATAAATGAAGTACAAATTAAAACAATGAAATAACACCACATATACATTAGAATGGCCATTATTTGGAACACTAACACCACAAAATGCTGGTAAGAATGTAGAGCAACAGGAACTCTTATTGCTGATGGAAATGTAAAATGACATATAGTCACTTTGCGGAAGAGTTTTCTCTTTTGTTTTTTGTTATTTTGTTTTACAAAACTAAACACACTCTTACTATATAATCCAGCAATTGGGATCCTTGTTGTTTACCCAAAGGAGTTAAAATCTTATGTTCATACAATAACATGCACACAGATGTTTAGAGCAGCTTTATTTATAATTTCCAAAATTTGGAAACAATGAAGGCATCACTCAGTAGGTAAATTAATAGATAAACTTTGGTATATCCAGACAAGAAAACATTACTAAACACTAAAAAAAAAAAAACTCAAGCCGTGAAAAACATAAAGGCACCATAATTGTATATTAGAAAGTACAAAAGCCAATCTGAAAAGGCTTCATACTGTAAGATTCTGACTATGATATTCTAGAAAAGCTACGGAGACAGTAAAAATATTAGTGGTTTACAGTAATTTAGGGGAGGGAGAAATCAATAGGTAAACCACCAAGGAGTTTTAGAGCAGTGAACATATTCTATGTGATACTATAATCATGAATACATTAATTTAAAAACATTATACATTCTTAAATCTATAAAAGATATACCAAATGTGAGCCCTACTGTAAACTATTGACTTGGGGTGACTATAATGTGCCAATGGAGGTTCATCAATTATAGCAAATGTATCAGTTTATTGAGGAATGTTGGTAACCACAGAGGCTATACGTGCCTAGGGGTAGATAAAAACTTTGTATCTTTCAATTTTGGTGTGAAACTAAAACTGCAATTTCAAAAAAACATAAATTAAAAAAGGTCTTTAAAAATAGAACTACCTCCAGAAAATTTTACTTCTGTTTGATGAAATATAAGAAGCAGAAATAAAGCAACTGGAACTAACAACAACAGCAGAACTACAACCAAGAACCCTCACAGAGTCCCCTTTACTCGCCTCCTACCTCCACTGGAACAGGTAGTGGTATCCGTGGCTGAGAGATCTGAAGATGGATCATATCCCAGGGCTCTTTGCAGGCTTTCAGGGAGCCCCATCCCTAGGGGAAGGAGGAGAGCACCTCACTGAGGGAACATCTCATGGGACAAAAGAATCTGAACAACAGCCTTTGAGCCACAGATCTTCCCTTTGGCATAGTCTATCCAAATGAGAAGAAACCAGAAAATCAGATTTGGTAATATGACAAAACAAGGTTGCTTACCATCCCCAAAAGATAACACTAGCTCATGAGCAATGAATGCAAACCAAAATAAATAAATAAATAAATAAAGAATCTCTGAATTGCCAGAAAAAAAAACATAGAAGGTCAATTATTAAGCTACTCAAGGAGGCACCAGAGAAAGGTGAATACCAACCTGAATAAATCAGAGAAAACAACAGGATATGGACAGAAAAATATCCAGAAAACTAGATAAGATAAATAAAAAACAATCACAACTTCTGGAAATGAGGAACACACATACAGAAATGCAAAATACAGAAAGTCTCAGCAATCGAATCAAACAAGTAGAAGAAATAACTTCAAAGCTCAAAGAAAAGGCTTTTGAAATAACTCAACCCAACAAAGACAAATAAAAATAATATAAAAAAAATAAGCAGAGACTCCAAGAATATTGGGATTATATTAAATGACAAAACCTAAGAATGATTACTATTCCTGAGGAAGAAGAGAAATCTAAAAGTTTGGAAAATATATTAGGGTAATGGCAAAAACTGGAATTACTTTTGCACCAAACTTTATATTTGAAGAAATAATCAAGGAAAACTTTTCTGGCCTTGCTAGCAGCTTAGACAGCCAAAAACAAAATGATCAAAAAACACCTAGAAAATTCATTGCAAAAAGAACATCACCTAGGGACATAGGCTTCAGGTTATCTAAAGTTAAAATAAAGAAAAGAATCTTAAGAGTTGTGAGGCAAAAGTGTCAGGTAACCTATAAAGGAAAACCTTTATAAGATTAACAACAGATTTTTTTAGTAGAAACCCTACAAGTTATAAGGGACAGGATCCTATCTTTAGCCTCCTTAAATAAAAACAATTATCAGCCAAGAATTTTGTGTGCAGCAAAACTAAGCTTCATAAATGAAAAAAATATAGACAGCCTTTTTCAGACAAATACTGAGATAATTCACCATGACCAAGCCAGCACTACAAGAACTAATAAAATCAGCTCTAAGTCATAAAACAAATCCATGAAATACACTGAAATAGAACCTTAAAGCACAAATCTCATCGGACCTATAAAACAATAACACAAAGAAGAAAATCATTTATGCGACAACAAGCATGATGAATAGAATAGTGCCTCACATCTAAATACTAATGTTGAATATAAATGGTCTAAATGCTCCACTTAAAAGATACAGAATGGCAGAATGGATAAAAATTCACCAAACAAGTATCTTCTGTCTTCAACAGAAACACCTAAAACATGAGGACTCACATTAACTTAAGGTAAAGGGGTGGAAAAAGATATTCCATGCAAATTGACACCAAAAGTGAGCATGAGTAGCTATTTTTATATCAGAAAAAACAGACTTTAAAGCAACAGCTAAAAAAGACAAAGAGGGACACTACATAATGATTAAAAATAACTAGTCCAACAGGAAAACATCACAATTTTAAATATATATGAACCTGACAATGGAGCTCCCAAATTTATAAAGCAATTATGACTAGACTTAAGAAATGAAGTAGACAGTAACACAATAATAGTGGGGGACTTCAATACTCCACTGACAGCACTAGGCAGGTCATCAAGTCAGAAAGTCAACAAAGATACAATGGACTCAAACTATACCCTAGAACAAATGGACTTAATAGATATTTACAGAACATTCTACCCAACAACTGCAGAATATATATTCTATTAATCAGCACATGGAACATTCTCCAAGATAGAGCATATGATGGACCACAAAACAAGTCTCAATAAATTAAAGAAAATAGAAATTATATCAAGCACTCTCTCAGCCCACAGTGGGATAACATTGGAAATCAACACCTAAAGGAAACCTTGAAATCTTGCAAATACATAGAAATTAAATAACCTTCCCATGAATGATTATTGAGTCAGCAATAAAATTAAGATGACAATTAAAAATTTATTTAAACTGAATGGTAATAGTAACACAACCTATCAAAACCTCTGGTATACAGCAAAAGTGGTGCTAAGAGGAAAGTTCATAACATTGAATGCCTACATCAAAAAGTCTGAAAATGCACAATAGAGATTCTAAGGTTACACATCAAGGAACTAGAGAAACAAGAAAAAACCAAACCCAACAGAAGAAAAAAAACAACAAAGATAAGAGAAGAACTAAATGAAATTGAAACAACACCAAAAAACACAATACAAAGGAAAAATAAAACGAAAAGCTGGTTCATTGAAAAGGTAAAATTGACAGATCATTAACAAGATTAAGAAGAAAGAAAATCCAAATAAGCTCAATTAGAAATGAAATGGGAGATATTACAACCGATACCGTGGAAATACAAAAGATCATTCAAGGTTACCCTGAACACCTTTACATGCACAAACTAGAAAACCTAGAGAAGACTGAAAAATTCCTAAAAATATACAACCCTCCTAGATTAAACCAGGAAGACATGGAAACTCTAAACAGACCGGTAAAAAGCAGTGAGATTGAAATGGCAATTTAAAAAAAATTGCCAACAGCAACAACAACAAAAAGCCCAGGACCAGAAAAATTCACAGCAGAATTCTATCAGGCATTCAAGCAAGAATTGGTGCCAATCCTTTTGAGATTATTCCAAAAAAATAGAGAAAGAGGGAATCCTCCCTCAATCATTCTATGAAGCCAGTATTACCCCAATACTAATCAGGAAAGGATATAACAACAACAACAGCAACAAAAACTACCGATCAATATCTGTGATGAAGCTACAAGCAAAAACTCTCAACAAAATACCAGTTAACCAAATCCAACAGCATATCACAAAGACAATACACCATGATCAAGTGGGTTATCTTTGAGGGTTGCAGGGATGGTTTAACATATGTAAATTAATTAACGTGATACACCAAATTAACAGAATTAAAAACAAAAATTACATGATCATCTTAATAGATGAAGAAAAAGCATTTGACAAAATCCAGCATCCCTGTATGATAAAACCCTCAGCAAAATTGGGATACAAGGGTCATACTATAAGGTAATAAAAGCCGTCTATGACAAATCCACAGCCAACGCTATACTGAACAGGGAAAAGTTGAAGGCATTCCCCCTGAGAACTGGAACAAGACAGGGATGCCCACTTTCACCACATTTATTCGACATAGTACTGAAAGTCCTAACTAGAGCAATCAGACAAGAGAAAAAAAACAAAGGGCATCCAAACTGGTGAAGAGGAAGTCAAACTGTTGCTATTTGCCAATGATATGATTCTATATCTATAAAACCCTAAAGACAAATCCAAAAAGATCCTAGAACTAATAAATTAATTCAGTAAAGTTTCAGCATACAAAATCAATGTACGAGAATAAGTAGCACTGCTGCACATTAACAGTGACCAAGAAGATAATCAAACCAAGAATTCAACCCTCTTTTACAATAGCTGCAAAAAATAAAAATAAAATACTGAGGAAAGTACCTAACCAAGGAGGTGAAAGACCTCTACAAGGAAAATGACAAAACCCTGCTGAAAGAAATCATAGACATACAAAAACAAATGAAAACACATTTCATGTTCATGGATGGGTAAAATCAACATTGTGAAAATGACCATACTGCCAAAAGCAATCTACAAATTCAGTGCAATTCCCATCAAAATACCACCATTGTTCTGCACAGAACTAGAGAAAACAATCCTAAAATTCATATTGATCCACAAAAGAGCCCACGTAGTCAAAGCAAGACTAAGCAAAGAGAACAAAACTGGAGGCATCACATTACCTGACTTCAAATTATACTGTAAGGATATAGTCACCAAAACAGCACAGTACTGGTATAAAAACAGGATAGAGAACCCAGAAATAAAGCCAAATACTTACAGTTAACTAATCTTCAACAAAGCAAATACAAACATGAAGTGGGGAAAGGACATCCTATTCAACAATATACTGTGACAATTGGCAAGCCAAAAGTAGAAGAATGAAACTGGATCCTCATCTCTCACCTTATACAAAAATCAACCCAAGATGAATCAAGGACTTAAATCTAAGACCTGAACCTGTAGAAATTCTCAAAGATAACTATGGAAAAATTCTTCTAGACATTGGTTTAGGCAAAGATTTCATGACCAAGAACCCAAAAGCAAGTGCAACAAAAACAAGATAAATAGATAGGACTTAATTAAACTAAAAAGCTTCTGCACAGCAAAAGAAATAATCAGCAGTGTAAACAGACAATTTACAGATTGGGAGAAAATCTTCACAAACCATGCATTTGACAAAGGACTAATATCCAGAATCTAAAAGGAACTCAATCAAATCAGCAAAATAAACAAACAATCCTATCAAAAAGTGGGATAGGGATATGAACAGACAATTCTCAAGAGAAGATACGCAAATTCCCAACAAACATACAAAAAATACTCAGCATCATTAATTATCAGGGAAATGCTAATGAAAACCACGATGCAATACAACCTTACTTCTGCAAGAATGGACATAATAAAAAAAAATAGACTTTGGTGTGGATACGGTGAAAAAAAGAACACTTTTACACTGTTGGTAGGAATGTAAACTAGTACAATTGTGTCCAGAATTTATTCCTTCTGGTGGGTTCTTGGTCTTGTTGACTTCAGGAATGAAGCTGCAGACCTTTATGGTGAGTGTTAGAGTTCTTAAAGATGGTGTGTCCAGAGTTTGTTCCTTCAGATGTTCAGATGTGTCTGGAGTTTCTTCCTTCTGGTGGGTTCGTGGTCTCCCTGACTTCAGTAATGAAGCTGCAGACCTTTGTGGTGAGTGTTACAGCTCTTAAAGGTGGTGTGGACCCAAACAATGAGCAGCAGTAAGATTTATTGTGAAGAGCAAAAGAACAAAGCTTCCACAGTGTGGAGGGGGACCCAAGCGGGTTGCCGCTGCTGGCTTGGGTGGCCAGCTTTTATTCCCTTATTTGGACCTGCCCATGTCCTACTGATTGGTCCATTTTAGAGAGTGTTGACTGGCACATTTTACAGAGTGCTGATTGGTCCATTTTACAGAGTGCTGATTGGTCTATTTTACAGAGTGCTGATTGGTGCATTTACAATCCTTTAGCTAGGCACAGAGTGCCGATTGGTGTGTGTTTACAGAGTGCTGATTGGTGCATTTACAATCCTTTAGCTAGACACAGAGTGCTGATTGGTGTGTTTTTACAGATTGCTGATTGGTGCATTTACAATCCTTTAGCTAGACACAGAGCACTGATTGGTGTGTTTACAATCTTTTAGCTTGATGGAAAAGTTCTCTAAGTCTCCACTCCACCCAGGAATTCCAGTTGGCTTCACCTCTCACAATCACTATGGAAAACAGTGTGGAGATTTCTTAAAGAAAAAAAGTAGATCTATTGTTTGATCCAGCAATCCCACTACTGGGTATCTACCCAGAGGTAAACAAGTTATTATACAAAAAAGATACTTGCACACACATGTTTACAGCAACAATTCTAAAAATATGGAACCAGCCCTAATATGCATATATATGTGTGTATATATATATATATATATATATATATATTACATACAATGAAATATTACTCATGAAAAGGAAAAAAATAGTGGCATTCACAGCAACCTAAGTGGAACTGGAGACCATTATTCTAAATAAAGTAACTCAAGAATGGAAAACCAAACATTGTATGTTCCCACTCATAAGAGGGAACTTTCTATGAAGATGCAAAGGCATAAGAATGACACAGTTGACTTTGGGGACTCAAGGCAGAGGGTGGGATGTGGGTGAGGAATAAAAGACTACACATTGGGTACAGTGTACACTGCTGGGGTGATGTATGCAATAAAATTTCAGAAATCACCTCTAAAGAACTTATCCATGTAACCAAATTCCATCCTTTTCCTCAAAACCTATTGAAATTAAAAATTAAAATTAAAAAAAAAGAAAGCAATTTCTGCAGTTTTACAAAATTAAAACTAATTCTTTCTCTGTTGGACTTTGGTGCTCCATAAAATGTTTTCAGGGAATCATAGAAATTGACATCTATTTAGAACACCTACCTAATCCATTTTCTACTTTTTGGCAGTAGTATACCAGTTTAAAGAAATAATAATTTTTTTTTTTTTTTTTGAGACAGAGTCTTGCTCTGTTGCCCAGGCTGGAGTGGAGTGGTGCAATCTTGGCTCACTGCAAGCTCTGCCTCCCGGGTTCTCGCCATTCTCCTGCCTCAGCCTCCTGAGTAGCTGGGACTACAGGTGCCCGCCACCACGCCCAGCTAATTTTTTTGTATTTTTGGTAGAGATGGGGTTTCACTGTGTTAGCCAGGAAGGTCTCAATCTCCTGACCTCGTGATCCACCTGGCTTGGTCTTTCTATTTAGGGACAGATAATTACCCTATATTAATTATTGAAAAACAAATATTAAAATATGGCAGATCTTGTGTCATTACATCTTCAAATTTCTCTTGCATTCTCTCACAAAAATTTCATTTTTACAAAATAAATTATTGTGCATACTGATTTTTTTCCACTAAACCACATATTTAAAACATTTAAATTAAAAGTAATTATGGAGAAATTTTCTTCAGAGTTTACAGTGAAAAAATACCTTATTTCCTATATTATAAATCTAAAATTGTATGGATCACCTTAAGCCCCTAAATAAAGATAAACCTTTCAACTTCATAAAAATCTATTTCTAACCACTAACTGGGCACACAATATTGTTTGCCTTTGTTTTAATTTATTTTAATTTTAATTTCAGATTCAGAGAGTACATAGGCGAATTTGTTAACAAGATGTACAAGATTTGTTCCATGATGCTAAAGTAAGGGCTTCTATTGATTCAGTCATCCAAAGACATAGCATAGTACATAATAGGAAGTTCTTCAGCCCATGGCCCCCTTCCTTCCTACCTCCCTTTGAAGCCCTCAGTGTCTATTGTTCCCATCTTTTTTTTCTTTTCCATTTTTATTTTAGGTTCAAGAGGTATATGTGCAGATTTCTTTCACAGGTAAATTGAATGTCACGGGGATTTGGTGTACCGATAATGTCATCATTCAGGTAATACACATAGTATCTGATAGGTTTTTGATTATCGCTTTCTTCCTAACCTCGAGCGTCAAGTAGGACCTTGCATCCAGTGTTCCCTTTTTTCGTGTCCATGTGTACTCAATGATTAAATCCCACTTATAAGTAAAAACATATGGTATTTGGTTTTCTGTTCCTGTATTAATTTGCTTAGGATAATGGCCTACAATTTTATTGAACTTTCACATTCCTCATTAGCTGTTGACAATGTTGGGTAATATGATTCATCCAGCTTTGTTCATTTGGCTTTTTAGGATCTTTTTTGATTCCATATGATTTTTTGAATAGCTTTTTTTTTAATTCTGTGAAAAATTTTATTGGTAGTTTGATAGGTATAGCGTTGAATCTCTCAATTCTTTGGGAAGTATGGTTATTTAACAATATTAATTATTCCTATCCATGAGCATGAAATTGTGTCATCTCTGAATTCTTTCAGCAGTGTTTTCTGATTCTGATTAAAGAGAACTTTCACATTCCTCATTAGCTGTTGACAGTGTTGAATATTTGTCCCCATCCTAATCTCATGTTGAATTTTAATCACCAGCGTTGGAGGTGGGGACTGGTGGAAGATGATTAGATAAGGGCAATGAAATCTCATGAGTTGCTGTTTTTCTCACAATATTGAGTGAGTTCTCATGAGATGTGGTTATTTAAAAGTATGTCAGTACTCCCCCCACCACTCCTGCTTTTGCCATGTGATATGCCTGGTCATGCTTCATCTTCTGGAATGAGTAAAATTTCCTGAGGGCTCCCCAGAAGCTGTGCAGATGTTGTCACCATGCTTCCTGTACAACCTTCAGAATCATAAGCTAATTAAACTTCTTCTCTTTGTAAATTACCCAGCCTCAGGTATTTCTTTATAGCAATAAAGAACAGCCTAATACAGAAAATTGGTACCAAGGGATGAGACATTGTTACACATAAACCTTAAAAGGTGGAAGCAGCTTTGGAACTGGGCAATAGGTAGAAGTTGAGAGAGTTCAGTGGGCTCAGAAGAAGATAGGAAGATTAAGGACAGTTTGGAACTCCTTAGAGACTGGTTAAATGATTGTACCCAAAATGCTTATAGTGAAATGAACAGTGAAGTCTAGATTGCTAAGGTCTCAGATAAAAAATGAGATACTTATGAGAAATTGAAGCAAAGGTCATATGTTATGCCTCAGAAAACAACTTGGCTGCATTGTGTTTATACCCTGGGAATCTGTGAAAGTTTGAATTTGAGAGTGATGATTTAGGGTATATGGTAGAAGACATTTCTAAGCAGCAAAACATTCAAGATGTGGCCTGGCTACTGCTAACAGCTTATGCTGAGATGTAGGACCAAAAAAAAAATGTTTTAAAGTCAGAGCTTATATTGAAAAGGAAAGCAGAGCATGAAAGTTTAGGAAATTTGTAGGTTTGTCTTGTGGCAGAGAAATAAAAAGCATTTTCAGGGGAATAATTCAAGCCAGCCGTGGAGCAACAACTTACTAGAGAGACTGGCATAAATAAAAAAGAATCAGGGGAAAGACAATGGGAAAAAGATCTTGAAAGTATTTCAGAGATCTAGGAAGTAGCCCTTCCAAACACAGGCTCTGAGGCCTATGAGGACTGAGTTGTTTTGTGGGGCAAGCCCAGCTCTTCACTGCCCTCCACAGCCTCGGAACATTGCTCCTTGTATTGTGGTAACTTTGTCTCCAAATTCACCTCAAAGGGCTCCAGATAGAGCTTGGGCTACTGCTTCAGAGGGTAAAAGCCATAATCCATAACAGCTTCCATGTAGTTAAGCCTGCAAGTATGCAGAGTGCAAGAGTAAAGGAGGCTTGGTACCCACTGCCTAGATTTCAGGGGATGTATGAGAAAAGCTGAGTGCCCTGGCAGAAGCTTGCTACAGGGACAGAGCCCTCACAGAGAAGTTCTACTAGGGTAGTTCCAAGGAGAAATGTGGGTTTGGAGCCCCACACAGAGCCCCCAGCAGGGCACAGCCTAGTGGAGCTGTGAGAAGGAGGCCAGTATCTTTCAGCTTCCATAATGGTGAATCTACTGGCAGTTTTCTCCCTGCATCTGGAAAATCTGCTTGTACTCAACAACCCATGAGCCTCCATGGAGCTGAACCCTGCAAAGCCAGAGTTGCACAGCTGTCCAAGCCTTTGGGAGCCCACTTTTTGCACCATTGTGCTCTAGATATGTGTCATGTAGTAAAATGAGATTTTTTGGAGCTTTAAGATTTAAGGACTGCCCTGCTGGGTTTTGAACTGGCATGAGTCCTGTAACCCCCTTCTTTTGGATGTTTTCTCTATTTTGGAACAATATTGTTTACCCAATGACTATACTTCCATTGTAATTTGGAACTAAACCACTTGTTTGTGATTTTACAGGCTTATAGGTGGAAGAAACTTGCCTAATCTCCATTAAGTTTTTAGACTTGGGCTTGAGACTTTTAAGATAATGCTGCAATGAGTTAAGAATTTGGGGGAATATTGAGGAGGTGTATTTATATTTTTCAATGTGAGAAGGACATGAACTTCGAAAGGAGCAGGTGCATATTAATATAGTTTGAATATTCATCTCCACATAAATCTCATGTTGAATTGTAATTCCCAGTGTTGGAGCTATCAATGAGCCTAGTTGGAGGCTATTGGATCATGAGAGTGAATCACTCTTGGCTTGGTGCTTTCCTCACTATAATGAATGAGTTCTCATAAAATCTGGCTGTTTGAAGTTATGTGTCACCTCCCCATTCCTTTTGCTCCTGATTTTTTCATGCAACATGCCTGCTCCCGCTTTACCTTCTGCCATTAGTAAAAGCTCTCTGAGGCATTCTCAGAATATGAGCAGATGCCAGCATCATGATTCCTGTATACCCTGCAGAACTGAGAGCCTATTAAACTTATTTTCTTTATAAATTACCCAGCCTCAGGTATTTCTTTATAGCAATGCATGAACAGCCCAATACAGTAGTATTCTTGATATTTTATTTTTCTGATCATTGTGAATGTGATTGCATTCTTGATTTGGCACTTAGCTTGGATGTTATTGATGTATAGAAATACTACTGATTTTTATACATTAATTTTGTATCCTGGAACTTGCTGAAGTACTTTATCAGATCTATCAGCTTTTGGGCAAAGTTTGTGGGGTTTTCTAGGCATTAAATCATATCATCTGAAAACAGAGATAGATTGACTTTCTTTCTTCCTATTTGGATGCCTTTTATTTCTTTCTCCTCTTGCCTGACTGTTCTGGCTAGGACTTCCAATACTATATTGAATAGGAGTGGCAAGAGTCGGCATCTTTGTCTCATTTCAGTTCTCAAGGGGAATGCTTCCAGATTTTGCCCATTCAGTATGATGTTACCTGTGGGTTTGTCACAGGTGGCTCTTGGTATTTTGAAGTATACTCCTTTGATGCCTAGTTTATTAAGGGTTTTTAACATATAAGAATGCTTCATCTCAATACATGCAAAAGCCTTTTTTGCATGTATTGAGATAATCATGTAGTTTTGGTTTTTAATATTTTTTATGCAATAAATCACATTTATTGATTTGGGTATTTTGAACCAATCTTGCATCCCAGGGATAAAGCCTACTTGATCATGGTGGATTCACCTTTTCATGTGCTGCTGCATTCAGTTTGCTAGTATTTTGGTGAAGATGTTTGCATCTATGTTCATCAAGGATATGGACCTTAAGTTCTTTTTGTTGTTTTTTTTTTTTGTCTCTGCCAAGTTTTGGTATCTGAGTGATGATGGCCTCATAGAAGGAGTTAGGGAGGCATTCCTCTAACACACTTTTTAGAAGTGTTTCAGTAGGAATGGTACCAGCTTTTCTTTGTATGTCTTGTGTAATTTGTCTGTGAATCCTTCTTGTGCAGGCTTTTTCTGATTGGTAGGGTTCTTATTACTGATTCTATTTTGGAACACATTGTTAGTTTTGTTCAGGTGTCAATTTCTTACTGGATCAATCTTGTGAGACTGTGTATTTCTAAGGATTTATTTACTCCTTGTAGGTTTTCTAATTTGTGTGCAGAGATGTATTCATAATAATCTCTGAGAGTGTTTCTGTATTTCTGTGAGGTCAGTGGTTATGTCTCCTTTGTCATTCCCGATTGTGTTTAATTATATCTTCTTTGTCTTTTTATTAGTCTAGCTAGCGGTCTATCAATCTTATTTGAAAAAAAACAAACCTCTGGTTTCATGATCTTTTGCATGGTTTTTCTCCTCTCAATTTCCTTCATTTCAACTGTGATTTTGTTTATTTCTTGTCTTCTACCTTTAAGGTTGGTTTGGTCTTACTTCTCTAGTTCTCTAGGTGTAATATTAGGTTGTTAATTTGAGATCTTTCTGACTTTTTGATGTGGTTATTTAGGTCTATAAGCTCTCCTCTTTAAACAGCTTTAGCTGTGTCCCAGAGATTTTGATATGTTGTATCTTTGTTTTCATTAGTTTCAAAAAATTTCTTGATTTCTGCCTTAATTTCATTATTTACCCAGATGTCATGCAGGAGCAGATTGTTTAATTTCTATGTAATTGTATGGTTTGGAATGATCTCAGTATTGATTTCTATTTTTATTGTGTCGTGGTTTAAGAGTGTGATTGTTATAATTTTGTTTTTTTAAATTGGCTGAGAATTGTTTTATGGCAGACTTCATGGTCAATTTTAGAGTATGGGCTATGAGCAAATGAAAAGAATGTACACTCTGTTGGTTTCATGTGTAGAGTTTTGTAGATATCTGTTAGGTTGTTTTGGCCAAGTGTCGAGTTCAGTTCCCAGATGTCTTTGTGGGATTAGAGTTCTTTAGATATCTCTTAGCTTCTTTTGGTCAAGTGTTAAGTACAGCTCCCAAATTTTTTTTTTTAGTTTTCTCCCTCAATTATCTGTCTAATACTGCCAGTACAGTGTTGAAGTTTTTCATTATTATTATGTGGTTATCCAAGTCTCTTTGTAGGCCTCTAAGAACTTGTTTTATGAATCTGGGTGCTCCTGTGTTGGGTGCAAATATATATTTGGGGATAGGTGAGTCTTGCTGAATTGAACACTTTACCATTATGTAACGCCCTTCTGTGCCTTTTCTGATCATTGTTAAAGTCTATTTTGTCTGAAATTAGATTACCAACCTCTGCTTTTTTTGTTGTTTTCCATTTGCTTGGTAGATTTTTCTCCATCCCTTTAATTTGAGCTCATGGGTGTCTTTGCATGTGAGACGGATCTCTTGAAGATACCATACAATTGGGTCTTGCTTCTTTTTCGAACTTTCCCCTCTGTGTTTTCAATTGGGGGATTTAGCCAGTTTATATTTAAGGTTAACATTGATATGTGAGGATTTGTTCCTATCATCGTGCTGTTAGCTGATTATTATGCAGACTGATTGTGTAGTTGCCTTATAGTGTTGATGGTCTGTGTACTTAAGTGTATTTTTGTGGTGGCTAATAATGGTCTCTCATTTCCATATTTAACACTCCCGTAGTGACTTATTGTAAGGCAGGTCTGATGGCAACACATTTCGTTAGCATTTGCTTGTCTGAAAAGGATCTTTTTTCTCCTTTGCATACGAAGCTTAGTTTGGCTGCATATAAAATTCTTGGTTGGAACTTATTTTCTTAAGAATGCTGAATATAGGTCCTCAATCTCTACTGGCTTGTAGGGTTTCTGCTGAGAGATTCACTGTTAGCCTGATGGGGCACCCTTTGTTGATGATCCGCCTCTTCTCTCTAGCTGCCTTCAATATATTTTCTTTCATGTCGACCTTGGAGAATCTGATGTCTATATGTCTTGAGTATGGTCAGCTTGTACAGTATCTTGTATGGGTTCTCTGCATTTTTAAAATTTGAATCTTGGCTTCTCTAATGAGGCTGGAAAAATTTTGGTGGATGATATCCTGAAACATGTTTTTTTGTTGTTGCTCACTTTTTCTCTCTTTTAGGTATACACTTTTTCTCTCTTTGAGTTATATATTTGGTCTCTTTATATAATCCTATGCTTTTTGCTTTTTGAAGGTTTTGTTCATTTTTTACATTTTTTTTTTCTTTACTTTTGTCTGGGTAAATTCAGAGAACTAGTCTTCAAGCTCTGAGATTATATCCACAGCTTGGTCTATTCTGCTATCAATATTTGTGATTGTATTATGAAATGTTTGTGGTGAGTTTTTCAGCCTTATCAGATCATTTCGGTTCTTTCTCTTTCAGCTCCTGTACTATTTTGTTGTATTCCTTAGATTCCTTGAATTGGGTTTCAACTTTCTACTAAATCCCAGTGATCTTCATTCTGACCCATATTATGAATTCTATGTTTGTCATTTTAGCCATTTCAGCCTGGTTGAGAACCATTGCTAGGGGAACTACTGCTGTCATTTGTAGGTAAATTTAGATTTTTGAGTTGCTGGAGTTCTTGCATTGGTTCTTATGTGTGTGGGTGTATGATCCTTTAATCTTTGAAGTTGCTGGCTTTTGCATGGGGTTTTTTGCTTTTATCTTCTTTGGTGCCCTTGGGGATTTGATTGTGGTATAAGGTATATTCAGTTGACTAGCTTTTATCCTAGAAGATTTTAGGGGTTTAAGTCTCAGCTCAGCACTCCTGGGCTATATGCTCTAACTTTGGCAGGTTGGTACTGGAAAGGTATTTAAAGGTACTGTTGGCATTTTTTACTTGGGAGAATACATATATATTGGTGTCACTCAATGTAATAGGACACATAGAAGAATAAAGTAATATATAATGGGAGGTGACATCTCATTTAAATTTATTGGTGGTGCTTGTAGAATAAATGAGTAAAAACAAATGATGCAAAGAATGCATAAAAAATATGTAGGCAATAATGCCTAGAGTTTTTAGCTGCCTAAGAATATTTCATGTCTTCACCTTATATTTATAGGAAAAACAAAAAGCAGATTTTCTTTGTACACCATATTTATAATTTTATCAATATTTCTTGAACTGAATTTCAATGTTGGCTAGAAATTTATGTAAACTATTCCGTATATATCATACAGAGAAAGACTCTTTAGGCTATTGGCTCTTGATATGTTAGTATTATCTTAATTCAAATTTGTTTAAAATTTCTACAATAGGAAATATGAACATTTCAGACAAATACTCAAAGAGAAATATTAGAAATTGGAAATAAGAGATTTCAGCCTAATGTGCTAATAAATACAGGACTTGGCAGTAGTCGCTCTGTCCTGACAAGTAAAATGCTGAAAAAACTGAAAATCAGAGACTCTTCATCGATCCATCAAATAACAGAAGTCAAAAAAAAAAACCACACTATTTTTCAAATTGGAAACACATTCTAGTGCATATGAAGAATCACAACTTATTCAAATAAAATTAAAAGCAAACACTTCGTGGATATTAGTAATGGGGTAGAAAACCCTACCCCCAAATTATACTGTAATTGACAAATTGATGGAAGCTAAGCGTGGACAAGACTGGGAGCTAAAAGGAAAAACACCTTCAAGGAGGCCTGGTCTTAGGAGGCCCTCAAACTTTTATGCATTTTACCTCTTGGATACATCCCACATTTCCACAGTAAAGATAATGGGTGTACTTCTGGCAGGGTGAGGAAAAAATTAGATATTTTTAAATACACCTAGAGCATTCTCTTCCTTTTAAGAAGGCCTGCTCGGTGGCAATCTCCTCCATGTTTTCTCTCTCTCCTACTGTGATGTAAGATGTGCCTTGCTTTTCCGTTGCCTCCTGCCATGATTGTAAGATTGCTGAGGTCTCTCCAACCATGTGGAACTGTGAGTTAATTAAACCTCTTTTGTTTATAAATTACCCAGTCTCAGGTAGTGTCTTTATAGCAGCGTGAGAATGGACTAATATAGAGAATTGGTAGTAGGAGTTGGGTACTGTTATAAAGATGACCTGAAAATGTGGAAGCGACTTTAGAACTGGGTAACAGGCAGAGTTTGGAGCAGTTTTGAGGGCTCAGAAAAAGAGAGAAATATGTGGAAAATTTTGGAACTTCCTAGAGACTTGTTGAATGGTTTTGGCCACAATGCTGATAGTGATATGGACAATAAAGTCCAGGCTGAGGTGGCCTCAGATAGAGATGAGTAATTTGTTGGGAACTGGAGCAAAGGTCACTCTTGCTATGCTATGCTTTAGCAAAGAGATTGGTAGCATTTTGCCCCTTCCCTAGAGATCCATTCAACTTTGAACTCGAGAGAGATAATTTAGGGTATCTGGCAGAAGAAATTTTTAAGCAGTAAAACATTCAAGAGGTTACCTGGCTTATTCTGAAAGCATTCACTTATATGCATTCACAAAGAGATGGTTTGAAATTGGAACTTATGTTTAAAAAGGAAGCAGAGCATAAAGGTTTGGAAAATTTGCAGGCTGACCATTTGGTAGAAAAGAATAACCCATGTTCCTGGGAGGAATTCAAGCTGGCTGCAGAAATTTGCATAAGTAACGAGGAGTCGAATGTTAACCACCAAGACAATGGGGCAAAGGTCTC
This sequence comes from Homo sapiens, assembly GCF_000001405.40. Taxonomy (NCBI): domain Eukaryota; kingdom Metazoa; phylum Chordata; class Mammalia; order Primates; family Hominidae; genus Homo; species Homo sapiens. The sequence continues at coordinate 90,563,988 of NC_000023.11, forward strand.
TAGGGCATTTCGGAGATCTTCATGGCAGCTCTTCCCATCACAGGCCTGGAGGCTGAGGAGGGAAAAGTGGTTTTGTGGCCCAGGCATTTGGCCCTGCTACTCTGTGCAGCCCCAGAAGTTGGTGCCCTACATCCAAGCCACTCCAGCTTCACCCATGCATAAAAGGGACAAACATGCAGCCCAGGCCATCACTTCAGAGGATGAAAGCCCGAAGCCTTGGCAACTTCCACATGGTGTTGGGCCTGTAGGTGCACTGAAGCCAAGAGCTGAGGTTTGGGAACCTCAACCTAGGTTTGAGAGGATGTATGGAAAGGCCTGGATGTCCAGACAGAAGTCTGCTGCAGGGGCATAACCTTCATGGAGCACCTCTATTATGGCAATGCAGAGGGGAAATGTGGGGTTGGAGCTTCCACACAGAGTCCCCACTGGGGCACCACTTAGTGGAGCTGTGAGAAGAGAGCCACCATCCTCTAGACCTCAGGATGGTAGTTCCACTGACAGCTTGCACAATGCACCTGGAAAAGACACAGGCACTCAATGCCAGCCTATGAAAGTAGCTGCAGGGGATGTACCATGCAGAGCCACAAGGGCAGAGCTACCCAAGTCATTGGGAGCCAACCCCTTGCATCAGCATTACCTGGGTATAAGACATGGAGTTAAAATAGATTATTTTGGAGCTTTAAGATTTAATAGCTGCTTGCTGGGTTTCAGACTTGCATGGGGCCTGTGACACCTTTGGTCAATTTGAAAGGGGAATATTTATGCAATTACTGAACCCCCATTGTACCTTGGAAGGAACTAACTCACTTTTTATTTTACAGGCTCATAGGCGAAAGGGACTTGCCTTGTCTTCGATGAAACTTTGGACTTGGACTTTTGAGTTAATGCTGGAATGAGTTAAGACTTTGGGGGACTGTTGAGAAGGCATAATTGGTTTTTCAATGTGAAAAGGACATGAGATTTAGGAGGGGCCAGAGTAGCATAACATGGTTTGGTTCTGTGTCCCCACCCAAATTTCATCTCGAATCCCCACTTGTCCAGGCAGGGACCTGGTTGCAGGTGATTGGATGATGTAGGAGGTTTCTCCCATGCTGTTCTTTTGACAGTGAGAGAGTTCTCAGGAGATCTGATGGTTTAAAAGTAGCAGTGCCTCCTCTGTGTTCTCTCTTTTTTTTCCACCACGTATGATGTGCCTTGCTTCCCCTTTGCCTTTCACAATAATTTTAAGTTTCCTAAGGCCTCCCCAGCCATGCAGAACTGTAAGTAAATTAAACATCTTTTGTTTATAAATTACCCAGTCTCAGGTAGTAGCTTTATAGCAGTGTGAAATTAGACTGAGACAGTAATTTAAACAACAGCCAAGAAAGCTAGAGTCCAGATATGTTTAGTTTCCCTATGGAAACTATGGCCGTATGGAAACCCCCCACTGAGGACCCCCACCAAATGGATCCACTGACATGTAATGCTCAGATAGGGGGGCATTGAAGACTGGATTGTGACCATCATTCTCTGTAATATATTCTTTTTTGAGGGGTTTGGAAGAACTCACACTTCTGAGACAGTTAAGATTTTTTTCTGCTGACCACAAATTATTAAACAAAGCTTTGCTTCCTTAACCAATTGCAAATCCAGAAATCATTAAATCTACCTACAACCCATAAGGTTCTACTTTAAGCTATCTCAACATTTTTAGGCCAAAAACAATGTGTAACCTCTATCTATTGATTTAGTATTTTGCATGTAGCTTCTGCTTTTGTAAAATTTACCCCTGCCTTTTAAAATCTTGTCCTGCAAGACATCTGAGAGGTCCAGATTGGAGCAATAGCTTCTTGTCCCTCCTTGCTTGAAACCCTGCAAAAAAATGCCACCTTTTCTATCACAGCAAAAACCTCATTGTGGATATGTGGTTTTACTGCACTGGGAAAATTTGTTAGTGGCAGCGAATCTGTATGATTCTGCAGCAACTTCAATTCTTGCCTCCTCAGAAGAAAAAATTCAAATGAGGGGCATAAGGCAGAAGAAGAGACTGAGGCAAGTTTTAGAGCAGGAGTGAAAATTTGTGAAAATGCTTTAGAGCAGGAATGAAAGGAAGTAATGTACACTTGGAAGAGGGCCAAGTGGGCAACCTGAAAGACAGGTTCATGGTTTGACCTTTTGACTTGGGGTTTTATATACCGGCATACATTCATGGTCTCACATCCTTTCTCCCCTGATTCCTCCCTTGTGGTGGGCTGTTGACAAGCACAGCAGCTTACCAGTACTTGGAATTTGATCATGCACAGTGTGTTTACTGAAGTTGTAAGCATGCTCACTTGAGATGTTCTTCCCTTACCAGACAAATACTCCTAGAAGGTCATTTACCATTTAAACCCTGTCACTTTTCCTCTACATGTACATGGTTGAACTCAGCCATCCAACTCCTGAGATCTTATCAGGAAGCAGATGATCACCAGTTTCAGGTTTTTTTCTATCTCTAGGAAGACTGCCTTTCCCTGGTGCTGGCTGTGGCCAATTATTATTTTAGAGAGAGATAGTTAACAATCACCTGACCATCACCTGATGGTCTCCTGATATTCCTGGTCAGATGGAGCCCTCTCCTGCTCTGCTCATGCCTGACCAGCTACCTATTGTAGCATTTTCCCACTCATGATCCTAAGACCCCAATTATTTGGAGAAAATGGACAAAGGTCAGTCTTCTGTAACTCTTCACTGCTGACAAAGAGGCAGTGGATCGCTCTGTGGGTCTTGGCCTGTTGCTAGCTGTCAGGGCAGGAAGGTGGCTCCATGGGTGTTTGAATGTGGTATCCAGCCAGGGTCTAGGGAGACAGGGGCAGGATTTTGCCTCTGTTATGTCTCACTGACGGGCAGTCTAGGGGTCCCCTGTAGAAGAGTGACTCTGAATATTGAAAAGATGATATCCCTCACTGAGGATTATCTGGAGCTTGATAGCCTATCCCTTTTGTTTCTTCTGAGGTACAAACAGTAATCACTAGTTGGCTCACAGGAATAAGCAGAGTTAGTCTAAATTGCAGACAAAAACTCAAAAAGAACTGATGAGACTAGAATCTAATAATAAATGTACCATAGTGCTCGAAACATGATTTTTATCCCTCCAGTTCTCATTTTTATTTAAAAAAAAATTAAAGTAACTATTAGTTTGCAAAATAAAGTTTAGTTTTATGATACTTGGCAAGTTATTGGCATAAAGCACAGAAAGTTTATTTTCTATATAGGCTCCTTTTTAAATTGACTTTGATGGATCTTCATTCCATAATGAATCTCATGCAAGAGTTTTCTTAAAGCCTTAAGCCTAGCCATGAATTGGTGCCATCAAATACCTGTATGATTGGGTAAATTCTTCTCCTCTTTAGGTCCTAAGATAACTTGAAGCTCCTGGGCCCATTAGAAAGTGACATTCTTTACTTACCAAAGGTCAGCAACCCTGTACAGGAACTGTGTAGACAAAGTATGAAGACAGTTTACCCAAGGGGTTTTATTGGCTCTATAAGTAAAATTTGATTCCTTAAGGGAAAGCATGCCATTCCAGTCAAAGCCTTGGTAAAATAACCAGATCCTCCAACTGTGTTCTGTTGTAAAAGAAACCAGATTCTTATTGCATTTATGCAAATAACTATATTGCCATTAGTTAAGAATACTCGCAAATAGCTTTCAAATTTTGAATAAATCCAGTAAGGAGAAATATGCTCCAAAGATTATTTATAGGAGTATATTTTACTGAATTGTTAAAAGATGTAAATAGCTCAAAAGAAAAGTTTTCCTGGCTTTGAAAAACAAAATACCAGCAACATTTTAAGCAAAAAGTCATGAAATAATTAATTTAGTTTTCTATTAGGTCAGGCCATGTGTACAGTTAACTTTTGTTCTGCTTGATATTCATAAACATTTCAGCTCTCCATGAGAGTCCTAAAAGTCTTTCCCTAATTCTAATGTCACAGTCTCCAAAGTCATCAGAATGCTGCATTCAAGAACACCTCTTAGATTTTTATAGCTGGTTATAAAACCACCTTCTAAAGAGGACCAAAAGAAAACAATAATTTCCTTGGATGACAAGACATCTTAGGGCAGCCTCTATTAAAGCCACAATTGACTAGGAATTTTGGTTACTTCTTTGGCATATCATAACAATTTTACCTAACAATTATAATGATTAATAACATACAGTAATTAATATCAGAATTATAGAACAAATTGGAATAAATGCTCATAACACATTTATAGAAATACAGCCCAAAGAAAGCCAAATATTACCTTCGCACTGGTGTATTGTTGATGTCAAACTTAGTTCTTAAAACCTTATAGACAAATCTATTCAATTTTAATCAGTCCGACTCTATGGTAAGATTCTCATAAACCTTTTACAACACTTTACAATTTTATTTGTTAAAGAGCATCACAATGCTCTAAGAAAACCCTGTTGTGGTTTTATTCCAATATTTAATTTATAGAAAAACTGAATAATACTCCTTTATCTTTACCCAATAATTTCACACACAAATTTCTTTTTTACAAGATTAATTTTTCACAAACCTTCCATGACTTGTTCAAACTTTCAGGTTTTTTCCATCTAATGAAAAACAAAACTTGAATTCTTTAATCTAGGCAAAAATATACACATTACCTTGGCTTGTTATAATCTTTTACAAAAAACACATTTCACTTTCCTTGCACACCTTACATGTAAAACTTTTTCTTTAGTAGTTTTAATTAAATGTTACAATGTTAACTCTTAGCAACTTTTATTTTTGGTGAAAAACCTGGTAAGTAAGTGATTTTAATTATGTACTAGGTGTGGAGCCTAGGAAACCAAATGAAAGTGTGAATAAGGTCTGATTCTTTGCAGCATAACCAGGGGAGCATGGCTAACTTCACATGTCCTCAGGCCTTACATAGATTATGATGGCTCCAAAATAGGTGAGTTGGACAATTTTCAAAAGTCAAAGAATAAGTTTATGACCTTACAGCATTTAGCAAACCTAGTATCTGACCTGCATAATTTATACAATATGTCTAAATTTTTGAATATATTTTTATTTTACCATTAATATTTAAACCCGTCTTTAATTCCCAAACATTACTTAAGTCACATGAATGAAAAGGCATTATAGTTTTTATTTTTCTGGCAAAATACTTGATTGAAGCACTTATTATTTTTAAGCCAATTAATCGGAGCTCTTTCATATATAAACATCACACACACAACACATATAAATACACAGAAAGACAGAAAATCCAGTAATGTAAGGTTTTCCATTTGCCAGTTTTTAAGTTTCTTAATTGGATTACTGGCTTCAGGGTGGAGCACTTTGAGATACAATGTCAGGAAAGCATGCAGTTTCTAGGGTCTAATAAGCAGTCATAGCTGGATGCAAAACAGATCCCCAAAAGTTAAGGGTACCATTTTTATACCAGATCCTAGATCCCAAAAAAAGAGAAAAATCGGCCCATTTCCCATGGGATTCTTATCTCTCAGTGAGAGGTGGAATCATTTCCAGACTTTCTAGGTGGCCAAGAGCACGCTTCTCTGATCCAAATGTGTAAAGCACTGAGTATCTCACCATAACTGCCATTAGCCATCCCTAAAAGTATATTTCTTACCCAGTTATTACACACCAAAGCTCTCTCATAATTCAAAGTAATTTCTGATACCCCCAAAAGTTAAAAAAAAAAAATCAGATAACATCATTCAAAGTGGAACAGAGCTTTAGATTTTGAGAGGAATTTTATCTGCTTTTGATTCCTGGAGCTTCATGAGGAAAAAAGGAAGTTTTTCCCAAAATGGGGTCTGTATTGCCTCCTCTCTTTATCCCAAGGAGAAACTGTCTTAGGAATTATCTTAGGTTCTCTTATGTGTGCATCAAGAGTGGCAAGAAGACAAAATGGAGAACAACTATTCAGTCAACTGACAAGAAAAAAAAAACCTTTTTTTTTTTTTTTTTTCAGGAAAACATGATTCAAGAAGAGAAAAAAAATGTAAAGGCCTTTTAAATATATGCATAGCTTGGACTTGGATATCTGCTTTTATTTAAGCTGACTTTTAACCACAGTGCTCTTAAAAAAAATCTTTCTAAATCTCTTATCACCCTACTTTAGCTAGGCCAAACAGCGAATATTCCTGGCTTTTAAACTTTACCAAAATAAACCTCATAGGTGAAACCAATAGGCCTTAACTAAAGTTATGACTTAACCATGAGTGTACAAGGTATTTTCAAAGAGGCAGTTAACAGTTTTTATAATACCTAGAATCTCCGAAGTTAGCTCAGAGGAAATACAATTCAAGAAGGGAACTCACAAGTTGTTCCTGGAGGGGCAGAGAATCAACAAACGGCAAATGTCACACAAATGTCAACCAGAAAGTACTCTTTCCTAAGCCAGGAATTGAACCCTGAACTCATGTCACCATTGGGAAAAGACAAAGCCTTAGCTACCACGCTACAGCATTTGGCAGTTTTTATTGCTCTTCCCAGAAGGAGCCTAGAGCAGTCAGTTTGGAGCTTGCGATGGCTTTTGGCTTGCTCAGGATAATTCTTAGAGCTAACTATGGCATGAACTCCAAAATTTCTGCCATTTGGATACTGAAGATGAAGAAAAAGTACTGCCACCTGGTTACAAAATCAAGCTCTCAAGGACGTAAAACAAGACGAGAGAAAATCTTCATCCACTTTTTTATTTTGTTGTTTTGTTTTGGTATCACAGAACTGCAGCAAATTTTGTAACTGACCAGTTTGCCAGGCTGGCTTGAACAGTGGGCTTACAGGCATCCTAGATTCACATTCTACCCTAAGGTACCCCTCTTTTTGAAAGAATGAAACAGAAAGAAAAATTCATAGCAGAAAGCAAACCAGGTTTGTTGCAGCTTAAGAGTGGCCTCATGAATCCTTTTTCTCACTAACGAAAACTTTGCAGAGGAGACAGTGCTTTTTACCACTCCTACAACTCATTTGCACAGAGAGAGGGTGGCCAGAAATCTGAATGGTGAAAATTTTTTACCCTTTTGCCGGCATTCCAGGTTTCTGGGTTCCCTTTCTCTGAGTGGCCCTCATGATCCTGTTTGCTGAATCATAACTGCAACACAAAGGAAAGTTATCTTTTCCCATTTCATGAAACCACAGGCCAAAAGCCTCTCAATATTGTAAGATGCCATGCAAGTGGCTGCGGAGCGTAACCAAAATAACATTTTCCATTTCAGCAAGAGCAAAATATGCATGACAAAACAGACATCAGCTACTTGGCTTAGCACCCAATATCAAACTGGCAAGACTCAAACTTGCCCCCAGTTGGGCCCTGCCATCTTTAATCCATTGAAAGTACAGTGGAAAGATTCCAACCAGGAGTTTCAACATGTGGTCTCTGGACAACATAGTCGCCCTGCGTAACAGAAGAGAGAAAATAAAAATAAAAAAAGAAGAAGAAAAATAAAAAGAAAGAAAAGCATTGTCTGTGGTGGGGTGGGAAAGGTGAGGAGCTCAGGGAGACCAGAGAAAGACCCAGCCATTGCAGCGACACTGAATCAAAAGTTTGGGTGGCTATAGTCCCATCAGTTCCCAAGTTTCCCCTTTTGGGGAGAACCAAGAAGAAACAAACCCCAAAGCTGTCAGAAGAGAAGAAATAACCAAGATCAGAGCAGAACTGAAGGAGATAGATACACAAAATACCCTTTAAAAACCCATGAGTTCAGGAACTGGTTTTCTGAAAAAATTAATAAAATAGACTGTTAGCTAGACTAATAAGAAGAAAAGAGAGAATAATCAAATAGGCACAATAAAGAATGATAAAGGGGATGTTGCCATTGACCCCACAGAAATACAAACAACCACCAGAGAGTACTATAAACACCTCTATGCAAATAAACTAGAAAATCTAGAATAAATAAATTCCTGGACACATACAGCCTCCCAAGCTTGAACCAGGAAGAAGGTGAATTCCTGAGTAGACCAATAACAATTTCTGAAATTGAGGCAGTAATAAATAGCCTACCAACCAATAAAAGCCCACGACCAGACAAATTTACAGCCAAATTCTATTAGAGGTACAAAAAGGACCTGCTACCATTTCTTCCGAAAATATTCCAAACAATTGAAAAGAAGGGACTTCTGCCTAACTCATTTTATGAGACCATCACCATCCTGATAACAAAACCTGGCAGAGATACAACAAAAAAAGGAAACTTCAGGCCAATATCCCTGATGAACATCAACACAAAAATTCTAAAGAAAATACTGGAAAACTGAATCCAGCAGCACATCAAAAAGCTTATCCACTAGAATCAAGTCAGCTTCATCCACAGGATGCAAGGCTGGTTCAACATACACAGATCAATAAACGTAATTCATCACATAAACAGAACTAAAGACAAAAACCACATGATTATCTGAATAGATGCAGAAAAGGTCCTCGATAAAATTCAACATCCCTTTATGTTAAAAACTCTCAATAAACTAGGTATTGATGGAATACACCTCAAAATAATAAGAGCCATTTATGACAAACCCACAGCCAATATCATACTGAATGGGCAGAAGCTGGAAGCGTTCCCCTTAAAAACCGGCACAAGACAAGGATGCCCTCTCTCACCACTCCTATTCAACGTAGTATTGGAAGTTCTGTCCAGGGCAATCAGGCAAGAGAAAGAAATAAACGGCGTTCAAATAAAAAGAGAGGAATTCAAACTGTCTCTGTTTGCAGATGACATGATCTTTTATCTAGAAAACTCCTTTGTTTTAGCCCAAAAGTTTCTTAAGCTGATAAGCAGGTTCAGCAGTCTCAGGATACAAAATCAATGTGCAAAAATCATAGGCATTCCAATACACCAACAACAGACAAGCAGAGAGCCAAATCATGAATTAACTCCAAATTCACAATTGCTACAAAGAGAATAAAATACCTAGGAATACAGCTAAAAAAGAAAATGAAGGACCTGTTCAAGTAGAACTACAAACCACTGCTCAAGGAAATCAGATTTGACACAAACAAACAGAAAAACTTTGCATGCTCATGGATAGGAAGAATCAATACCATAAAAATGGCCATACTGCCCAAAGCAATTTATAGATTCAATGCTATTCTCATTAAACTACCATTGACATTCTTCACAGAATTAGAAAAAAACTACTTCAAAATTTATATGGAATCAAAACAGAGCCCATGTAGCTGCGACAATCCTAAGCAAAAAGAAAAAAGCTGGAGGTATAACGCTACCTGACTTTAAACTATGCTACAAGGCTACAGTAACCAAAACAGCATGGTACTGGTACAAAAACAGACACATAGACCAATGGGACAGAATAGAGAATAGAAATAAGACCACATCTACAAACATCTGATCTTTCAAAAACATGAAAAATACAAACAATAGGAAAAAGATTCCCTATTTAATTAATAGTGCTGGGAAAACTGGCTATCCAAATGCAGAAAATTGAAACTGGACCCATTCTTTACACCTAATACAAAAATTAACTCAATGTGGATTAAAGACTTAAATGTAAAAACCAAAGCTATGAAAACCCTAGAAGACAACCTAGGCAGTACTATTCAGGATATAGGCATGGACAGAAATTTCATGATGAAAACATCAACAGTAATTGCAACAAAAGCAAAAATTGACAAATGGGATCTAATTAAACTAAAGATCACCTGCACAGCAAAAGAACTATCATCAGAGTGAACAGAGAACCTACAGAATGGAAGAGAAAATGTTTGCAGTCTATCCATCTGACAAAGATCTAATATCCAGAATCTAAAAGGAACTTAAATTTACAAGAAAACATGGGCAAAGAATTTGGGAGGCTAAGGTGGGTGGATCACTTGAAGTCAGGAGTTCAAGACCAACTTGGCCACATGGTGAAAGTGTCTCCACTATTAAAAAAAAAAAAAAAGAAAAAAAAAGCTAATTAGCTGGGTGTGGCAGTGGGTGCCTATAGTCCCAGCTACTCAGGAGGCTGAGGCTAAATAATTGCTTGAGCCTGAGAAATGGAGGTTGTAGTGAGCTGAGATTGCGTCACTACACTCCAGCCTGGGTGGCAGAGTGAGACTTTGTCTCAAAAAAAAAAAAAAAAATGTGGGCAAAGAACATGAAAAAACACTTCTCAAAAGAAGACATTTATGTGGCCATCAAACATATGAAAAATCAACATCACTGATCATTAGATAAATGCAAATCAAAAGTATATTGAGATACCATATCACGCCACTCAGAATGGTGATTATTAAAAGTCAAGAAACAACAGATGCTGGTGAGGCTGTGGATAAACAGGAATGCTTTGATACTGTTGGTGGGAATATACATTTGTTCAATCATTGTGGAAGACAGTGTGGCTATTCTTTGAAGACCTAGAACCAGAAATACCATTTGACCCAGCAATCCCTTTACTGGGTATATACCCAAAGTAATATAAGTTATTCTATTATAAAGATACATGCACATGTATGTTCATTGCAGCACTATTTACAATAGCAAAGACATGGAATCAACCCAAATGCCCATCAATGGTAGACTGAAAAAAAAAAAAAAAACGTAGTATATATACACCATGGAATACTATCCAGCCATAAAAAAGAAAGAGATCATGTCCTTTGCAGGGACATGGATGGAGCTGGAAGCCATTATCCTCAGCAAATCCAAAGCCATTATCCTCACACAGGAACAGAAAACCAAACACCACGTTCTGACTTATAAGTGGAAGCTGAACAATGAGAACACATGGACACAGGAAGGGGAATGACACACACTGGGCCCTTTTGGGACAGGGAGTTGGGGGGAGGGAGAGCATCAGGATAAATAGGTAATGCACACGGGACTTAATACCTAGGTGTTGGGTTGACAGGTGCAGCAAACCACCATGGCACATGTTTACTTATGTAACAAAACTGCACGTCCTGCACATGTATCCCGGAACTTAAAGAATTCACAAATGGCAAAGGAAGAATTTCCTCTCTTCCCAAAGTGGTGCTAACTAAAAAAAAAAAAAGCAAGTAGGTGCGATCCTTAAAGGGCCTGCGTGAGGCCCTATGCAGGCTCACAAACTGCTTCAAAAGCAGTGGCTTTTGAAACCAGTGGCTTTTGAAGCAGTTTGTCCACCTGCACAGGGGAAAACTTGGCCCTGGGGAGTAACAGGAATGAAAATCATATGGTAAGTCATAAGGACCTGACAGAGCCAGAGTTCCGATTAGTGTCTGTCCCAGCAATGTGCCAGCAGAAAGGGGAAGGGTTGGAGTTCATCCGAGCTGGTAGGGTAAAAGCAAATATAAATCTCAGGAGATATCCCCAAGGGAGCCCATGTCTTTGCTGCCTCACAAACCCAGTAAAACAGCTGTGGGCACATGAATAGCAGGGAGTGTATATTTAAGAAGTCACGTGACCTGCAAAGTGAAAGCAAAGAGCAGACTTACCCCCAAGGCAGATGGTCTGGCAGGTGTGCAAGGCCATTTCAGAACACACACAGAGAAAACAGGAGAATAGACATTGTGAATTCTTGGGAAAGAGCCAATTTGAGATGAAAAAGCAGAGGAAACCCAGACATTGCACGGTTTTAGACTTTAGCTCTAGCATTCTCGTGAGCTTCCTGTCCAGGAGGGCCATTAGTGCTTCAGTCCTACTCCATGTGAACCCCAACGTCCTTTCCACTATGATGAGCCATCCATCAGGGTGAGCTGAGAGATCAGCCAGGAGGAGCAGGGTCACTAATGTCTGAAAGGAATTGTTCTGGGTGTTAGTTAGTAAGCAGAAGAGAGAAAGGGAGAAGAAAACCATGTATGGGTGTTGAACACCTCCAGCCAAAGAAGGCGAGGCATAGAGATCTCTTACCATTAGGGCATGGATCCCAGTCAAGCAGTGCCAATGTATGTTAGCGGTGAAAGTTATCCGAGTCACAGCGCACCGAAATATATCAGCAAAGTCAATTCCTGCCGCCTCAGAAGAAAGAATTCAACTGAGGGGCATAAGGTAGAAGAAAAGACCAAGGCAAACTTTAGAGCAGGAGAAAAGTTTATCAAAATGCTTTAGGGCAAAAATGAAAGGAAGTAAAGTACACTTGGAAGAGAGTCAAGCAGGCCACTTAAAAGACAAGTGTGCGGTTTGACCTTTTGACTTGGGTGTTTTTTTTTTTCTTTTCTTTTCTTTCTTTTTTTTTTTTTTTTTTTTTTGACGGAGTCTCACTCTGTCGCCAGGCTGGAGTGCAGTGGCCCGATCTCGGCTCACTGCAACCTCCACCTCCCGGGTTCAAGAGATTCTTCTGCCTCAGCCTCCCGAGTAGCTGGGACTACAGGCGCGTGTCATCACGCCCAGCTAATTTTTGTATTTTTAGTAGAGACGGGGTTTCACCATATTGACCAGTATGTTCTCCATCTCCTGACCTCGTGATCCACCCGCCTCAGTCTCCCAAAGTGCTGGGATTACAGGCGTGAGCCACCACGCCTGGCCTGACTTATATGTTTTATATGTTGGCATACTTCTGCGGTCTTGCGTCCCTTCTCCCTTGATTCTTCTCTTGGGGTTGGGTGTCTGCATGTGCAGTGGCCTGCCAGTACTTGCAAGCTGAGCATGTGCAGTGTGTTTACTGAAGTTATACACATGCTCACTTGAGGCATTCTTCCCTTACCAGCCGAATGCTCCTAGAAAGGTCATTTACCAGTTAAACTCCAACTTTCTGCCTCTCACTTCACATGTTTGAGCTCACTCCCCCAATTCCCGAGATGTTATCAGAAAGCTGCTGATCACCAGTTTCAGTTTTTTTTCTATCTATAGGGAGATTGCCTTCTGCTGGTGCCAGCTGTGATCAATTATTATTTTAGAGAGACGGGTAACAACCACCTGACCCTTACCTGATGGTTGCCTGATGTTCGTGGTGAGGCGGAGCCCTCTCCTGCCCTGCTCATGCCTGACTATCTGACTACTGTAACAAATGGACTCGGGTTCCGTTCTATATTATCTGTAAAATGCTAATAATGCCTTCTTTAAGGAACTGTTGTAATGACTACGTAAAATGATATGTATTTAATGTGTAAAGCTTAATGTATTATTCATTATAATATAAAATGTAAATTTAATAAAGTGCCAGGAACTATTCAATTTTTGATAATTTGAAATAGTATACTTAATGCAATTTCAAAAATAAATATATAAGGCTGGTTTTCTAGTGGCCTATTACATAGAATAAACTACAAACCATATAAAAGATAATATAAATGCATAATTTTTTAAAAGCCTGAGTTAAAGATCTACAGTGACAGAAAAATTACTCAAAATCGTACTTATAAAAAAAAGTAGCTGAAACCATAAACTACTCAGAATCTGTCACATAAAACCACAAATATCAGCCAACTTGAACACGTGGGCATTTTTTAAAAGTGACCTAAATTTAATTCTCACTTAAAAAAAAATTATACACTTCATCAGCTTCTAAAGCTATGTAGCATTGCCAAACAAAAGCCACTTCATAATTTTTTTCAAACTATAGCTGATAAATTCTAAACAACTTTATGAAAATTTCACTGTGTTTTCTTTATATAATCTAGAGGAAAATCACCCTAAGAAAGGCCCTCATACTTGTCTATGTGTTCAAATGGAAACTTTTAAATATGTCATCTATAATTCATTTCTGATTTTTCGTGGAATTCTCAATGATTTTTGGAACTATCATTTTGTGAATATCTACATACAAAATAATATTGGAAGTTGCTTAGAAAACCAAAGGTGATTTTACCTTTGAAAAGTATTTCATGTTACAGAAGAATCTACAGCAAATGAATTCTAAATCAGTTTTTACATGAAATAATATCCAAGAGAAATCATATTTATAATATTTTCCATCTGTATAGATTTGATATTTATATTTAGCAATAAAAAAGATATAAAATGTTCAGTATAAAAAATTAAGGATAATAAAAGTAAGCCCAATTTGATTACTTATTATTTTGTATAATTATTTAAAAATTGACAACAGAATATGGTTGTAATATATAAAATACAATTCAGTAAAAACCAAAAAAAAAGATAGTTCTAGATTTCTAATTTAAACAAAATAATTAAATATTTCATTTCCTACCCTTTTGGGTATTATGTGCAAGATTTTTCTAATATCTCATTTCTTAATCCTTTTTATAAATGCTCTGATCTAGAAAACTAATGAGTTTTTATCTATTCTCAGAGTATCTATCATTCTAAATTTAAAATTGTAAACATTCATCTTAACAAAATTCTGTTGGACTACCATTTCTCATGTTGGTTTACAGAAAATGGAAAATGGTACTCCAAAATATGGCACTGTGGTATGCTAAGTGTTTTGAATTAAAGAAAATTGAAAGGCCTCAATAATAAGCTTCCCAACCACTGTCTCTCTCTTACCTTCACTTGTCCCCTATCTCTGTGTTCCTTTTTCTATTTTTTAAGTAAGAAATCAATTATCCATGTTATTGTTAAAGATGATCTTTTTTCTTTGGTGATAACCAGAAGGGACTGTCTTTAAAATTTTCTTAACTAAGAAAACTTCTTTCCAAAGAAATGTAATAGTTTTAAAATTCCCTCCCTAGAAATATCATCAAACAATGAGAAAGATTAACCACAGAAGGAAGAAAGAGACTAGGATTCATCAGAAAGTCCAGATAGACTTTGCATCTATTCTAATGACAGTTCTGAGATTTTATTTGCATAATAAAACATTTACTCACTGTAAAGCCCCAGCCCTCGCCTTTCCACCATCTCCCTCAGAGCTCAGAAAATCTTTGTAACATGCCATTGCTTTTGGACCTCATTCTTTTCCCCTGAGAATCATTTAATCCCACAACCTCCATCTCCCCTTCCCCTATGAAGACAGGTAAATAAGCATCTTGATCTGTTTGGGTTATTGCATAATCCTACTCTAGTTCCCCTATGTTTATGCCTATTAAATAAATTTTATATACCTTTTTCTCCGATTAATCTGCCTTTAGTCAGTTCATTTTCAGCAAATCTTCAGAGGGTAAAAGGGAAGCTCTCCCTTTTGACCTTACACTAAATAGAGACAATACAGTGATATAAGCAAAGTGAGAAAAGAAATGTAAACCAAAGACAATGGAAAAAACAAACACAAAAACACAAAAGGAAAACTATTTAAAATATTGATTGTTTTAGCTTAAGCCAAGCCACAACAAATAAAACAAAGTGACTATCATTATCATTGTTAATAATATTATCGATGACAATATAAACTAATAAAATGTAGAAAACTAGAAATATGTAAATTTATGAGGAAAGGGTTACATTTTGTGTAAAATTCTAAATGTTAGAGTTTGAATTTGATTAATATTAGCTACTTTCAACACTAATATGGCAAATACAAACAAATTAAAATGTAAAAAAGAGAAAACAACATGTACTCAGTTTGGCAGCACATATATTCAACTTGGAACTAGCCTAGGGACAAACTGCTGCTCAATTCACTTTTACGTTCCTGGAAAATTTCCATTCATTCTCTCTGTTTTGGCTGATTTCTTGGCAAACAGACATGGGCAGTTTTCCTGTCACAACAGTCATAGCCTCATTTTACATCGTTGTCATGTTTGCACACTGTATGTAGGAACGAGAGATGAAAGTAGATTTTGATTAAGATAAATATATTCTACTGTGCAATGAGAATGCCTGGGATTTTCAATTCTGTCTGTTTTGTTAGCCTCTCTGATTGCTTTGGATTTTGGATGTTTTGTTTTGCTAATCATCACGGAGAGTTTTACTTTTGTATGCTGAAACATATTCTGTTCTGCCTTCCAGATGTATTAAGCTGTTCATTTTTACTCAAAAACTGAAACACTTGCTTGATGATTTTCATATACCAAATCCATAGTTAGTGTATATACATCATCTTCACCAATTTTGACCTGGGTATTTTGTAAAATGTGAAGTCAAGAACTATTAAACCTAAGCTTCTCTGTCCTAAACTCTTATCTCTCATCTCAAATGTAACATAAAATTCATAATATATTTATTCTAGTTGGTTTGACTGTAAGAGAAAATATCCTTCAAAGTAATATCTTTATTTTCACAGAAGATTAATCTTCACTTTGATGTCTTAAAAATAAAAATGAAAAATTTACATATAGAAGTATAGGATTACTGTGTGCTATGCTTTTCTCATTGATAAAATTAAAAAGTTGGATAATATGAATTCTAAGATGCTTGAAGGTCTAGGATTTATAAAAAGTATTATTTCTATAAAGATAAATAAGAATCAAAGTACATTTTTAAATTAATTTCTTATAGAATTTTTAATGAAATATTAAAACTACCACTCACAATTCTGTTAAAGTTTTAGGCTAAGAAATTTCTTCTAATATGTGTATTCCATATTAATGTTTAGGATTCTGAGAATTTTTAAATTTATCATTTTATACTTTGTGCATTAGCTTCTCCTCATTACCTTTTTTTCAGCCATGCAAAGATTATAATTCATTTTGTGTCAAAATCTGCATTATATCTCTTAGAATATGATTAGAATTTTTTTTTTTTTTTGAGATGGAGTTTCGCTCTTGTCACCCAGGCTGTAGTGCAGTGGCGCGATTTCAGCTCACTGCAACCTCCACCTCCCAGGTTCAAGCAATTCTCCTGTCTCAGCCTCCCAAGTAGCTGGGATTACAGCCACCACACCCGGCTAATTTTTTGTATTTTTAGCCACGTTGGGCAGGCTGGTCTTGAACTCTTGACCTCAGGTGATCCACCCGCCTTGGCCTCCCAAAGTGCTGAGATTACAGGTGTGAGCCTCCATGCCCTGCCGATATTTCTTTATATTATTTCTTAATTGGTTCATATGTTAATATCTTCATCTGTATTGTATCTTTTTGCTCAAGGGCAAGATCTGTCACTCAAGCGCTCAATATTTGATTAATGAGTAAGCTAATTATACTTCTTTATTTTACCACACAGTGCCTATTATATTACGGATACTCAATAAATATAATACTTGCTGACTGGTAAACTAGTAAAAGATCAATCATTTTCTTAGAGATGCACACCTTATTTAGTATCTCAGGGATTATTAAATTATTTTATCATTGAAAAATACTGAGCTAAGGTGCTTTCTGAAGAAAGATGGACAGTTAATTGTTTGTTTCAATGATGATAAATACCAGCAGTAAATTAGGATGAGATAACAAATTCTTCTGGTTTACAATGTTAAGACAGTTATCAATTTCACCATTAAATGAAGTACAGTTCTCAGCCATTTATTTTATTTATTTAATGTATCTTTTCTTTTACTCCATTTTTTTCTTGTGATATTTCTTTTAATAGAAAGAGGAAGTATAAACTGAAGTGATCATTTTGTATTTTGTGAAGAATGGAGAATGTAACATCTGAGACTGTGTCTCCACGTCATACATTGCCCCACTATACTCATTAGTGGTAGAAGGTGTTCTGAGTAAGCTGTCCAATAATTTAAAACCCAAAATGTGTCCAAGGCAGACTTCAAAAATTGCTGGTACTGCCACTTCCAATTTGAAACTAATGTGGGTAAAATTTATTCTAACAAAACTTATTGGGAGAAACTGATAAAATTCATTTCAAAACATCCACCAAGTATGACGGCGAACTTCTTCATGACACTTAGAACTTTGTACTAGTAAAGGTGACATGATATGGCCACTGAAGCCTTAGGAAACAGTAGAAAATCAAAAGCCACATTGTCAGACAGGGACAGCATAACTCATTTTGATGCTTGGTAGTATAGGCAAGTACAATGGTTTGTACGTTTTTGTCCCTTCCAAATTCATATGTTGAAAGCTTAATCTTCAATGCATCAGTGTTGGGTGATGGGGCCTAATGGGAGATGTTTAAGTCTTAAGGGCTCCACCCTCATGAATGGATTAAGGCCCCTATGAAAAGTGCTTATGGAAATAAGTTCGCTCTCTTCTGTTTCTCTGCCATTTGAGAAACAGTATTTCTCCCCTTCAAATAATGCCGGATGCAAGGCACCATCCTGAAAGCAGAGACAGATCTGTTACCAGATGTCAAACTTGCCAGATTTCTAATTTTGGACTTCTCAGCCTTCAGTGCTATGAGAAATTTCTGTTATTGGTAAATTGCTGAGTCGCGGGTATTCTGCTATAGCAGCAAGAAATGGACTAAGACAGTAACTATTGTAACAATGTCAAGAACTCATGGCAACTTAAAGAAATGATCTGAGTAGTTGTAGAAAGATCAGACATTTAACAACAGATCTGTACGTATCAGATCACACTCAAAACAAAGCAGGAAGAAATGAGTCTCTGTTGTCTAACACTAACACACAGTATAGAGAATCCAGAATACTTGTTAATTATGCAGGTGTAAGTGATTTACCAATTATTATTGTAGTAAACATATTCCAAACTAAATTAATAATCTTCTGAAATTTGTACTTTGAATACCTCTATGTATGACCTCCTTCATGTTAATAAAAATATTATCAGTCTATGAAAATATTTATCATAATTTACAATTTTCTTTCACTACTGTGCAATATACCCAATGAGAATCTAAGTAATATCTCCTACGGAAAACACCTATAATATCTGTCTTTCATTCCATTATGATTGGTTTTCACAGACCTTCATTATTTTACCTATTTGTGCAATTTTATCTTACATTGAATATGTTCAAAATGATTCAGGCAGTTAAGCTGAATTGAGATCAGTTCTGTCTCCCTCATTACTGCTTGTAATTATCCAAATCACTAGTATTATTTTCTAATTCTCTAATATATAAACTTCTATCATCCCCTCACTCCTGTAAATTCCCTAAGAATAATAATCACATCTTACTCTTTTCATGTATTTCCACGGTGTCTTCTCTTGTATTTTGCACATAGATAATGAATACTTGTTAACATGAAAAGTATTGAACAGAGTATTCTCTGTTAACTCTATTAAATCTATATCACAGGTCAAATAAAATAAGATTTGATGGATAGGTACAACCTATCTGTAATAAAATTAGATTTGCACATATAATTGTGCACTGTAAAAATGTTTCAAAATTTTTTTTCACTACTCACCACTTATTTTGGTTAAATAATTTCTTAGACAATTTATTTATAAAATATAAATAAATTAAACTCATATTTAAGTTACCATAAATTAGAAATAGAAGGCAAATTAGTATTTATTATAACCAAAACAGCAAGTACATTTGATTAAAATCAAGAAATAGCAAGGAGTTAAGGTAATTTCCATTCAAAGGATTAATTAATGCAGTATCTTGAATCACAAATTAATCTTACACATGCTTAAATACAAACAACCTGCTTTATTAAAGCTTCTGGTTATGGTTTCTGGATGGAAATTCAATCCCTTAGGCACAAACAAATATGAAACTAAAATTCTGTTATGTTATATTTCTGTAGCCCAATTATTTCAATTATGATGGCCTTTCAACTATTTCAATTCCAAA
Organism: Homo sapiens; assembly: GCF_000001405.40. Taxonomy (NCBI): domain Eukaryota; kingdom Metazoa; phylum Chordata; class Mammalia; order Primates; family Hominidae; genus Homo; species Homo sapiens. The sequence goes on from NC_000023.11 coordinate 90,583,399, forward strand.
TATTTTAATTATGATAGCATATATAATAGTCTATGATAAAAATTCCAAGACTAACACATTCTAAATTCTATTTCGCTTAGCAGAAACTCTTTGTAAAGAAATCTTTCTCCAAAATTTAATGTTGTATACTTGGTTGCCTAATTTTAGCAGAAAATAATCAAAAAGTAGCAAAATAAAAATTATGTTAAAGTAAAAATGTTCTGTTGTCTAAAAAAGGGCAATGGCAAATCAGTGTCACCACTAGATCAATGCCACAACACTCTTTTAACAATTATGCTCTCTGGCCTCCCTTTTGACTGAAGTTTACACCTTGCAGGTATAAAACTGTTCTCCACACTTATTCTGAAATACGCTTCTGAAAGAAATGTCGTTTCAATAAATTGACTCCAAGTAACCTTGTGAGCCCACGATCAATTATAAAATTTTATTTTTGAAAAATATAAAATTTGCTTTTAAAAAGTGCCATAGAGTGGTCAAAGTATGGATTTTAATGGAAGAAAATATGTCAGATGATTAAAGGAAAGGAAAGGCCAAATTTTAAATCTTCTTGCTGGTTTAATCACTAATTTGATCTATGTGACAAGCCTGTACATTTCAGTACCCTGCATATTTATCTTTTGAATAAGAATAGTTGCCCACTTGAGAGGACTTACAGAATGGAGATGCATGTCTGAAGTGAGCTTAATGAGCAGAGACATTTCCAAAATACGAGAAACTGCAAAATGGGAAGGGAATTAAATTCTGGCCATTTAAATTGCACGTATATCTAATTTTTCATTTTTAATTGAATGAATACAATCACCTTAAAATATAGCATCAAAAAGCATTTAAAAGTTACAGATTATAAGGCATACTGAAAAATGAATGCTACTGTAATTGCGATTCTAAGAAATGTCCATTGCAAAGGTGCTGGTCTAGTGCTTCTTAGAGCAAACAGAATTAGATAACAGAGCTTCTTATTTCTTATGATTAGATAAAACATTACCTTGTACCATAAGATTTATATATTAATATCTTTTTGCATAAGTTAAAAATGTTTATTGCAAACACAAATGTGCATATAAAAATAATGGTCGAAATAAGTTGGCCAAAGAGAGAAATAATACAGCATAGTGGCAATGAAAAAAGACACATCTGCTAAAAATAACAGCAGCAATAAAGAACATACATGTTTGCACACACAACATAATTACTTAATGTAAAGTGGAGTTATTAGTTACATTAAGAATGAATCATGAAAGTCACAAGGTTAGGAAGGAAATGAAGTAAGAATATCTATTCTTTATTTTAAACTACATAGAAATGTCAGGTCTCTATCAAAAACCTGAAGAAATGTATGTTGCCTAATCATGTTAATCATAGTTCAGACTTTGGCCACAAAGACCTCACAGCATTGTTACAAAAATCAAATGAAATGAGAAATGTACAAGTACTTCATAAACAGCAAAATGTTCCATACATGTGTTATAGACATTATCTTTTCAATATTCAGAGAGTCTCACATTCCAATATAGGATAGTGCAAAAAACAAACAAACAAAACTCTAGAACACGGTGGAGAAATTTATTGCTCTCTGTTCAATTCTTAGATTTTTTTTTTCTTTGCACTAAGCAGTCTCTAAGACACAGGTTAGCCTGGCTTTGAAAGAAGAACAGAGATGATGATAATGTGTTCTAATAAACATGTCTGGCCAATGCCTCTGTCCTAGGGACAGTCCCTTAGCGATTCTCTAGTGGAGAAATATCTTCCGTTGATCTCCACATAAGCCCACGGTGATTATACCAGTAAGAGATTAAATGATCTGATCTCTTAATATGAGTGAAAGAGAGAAAGGGGTATGAGAGTGGATCTAATTGACCCAAACAGGACAACACACATAATATATTTCTGTATATAAAAACTAAAAAAATAGAAAAAGTCCACATTGTGCCAGCAGAGAATGCAATGTTAAGAACAATTTACAGATGAGAAAAGTGAGACAATGACAAAGTAACTTTTCCAATATAATATAAAAGATGTCACAGAGCCTGAATTCGAACTTTTATTTATCTGATTTCAAAGCAAAATAAGCTATTTATTATTACATGAAGCACAGTGAAATGAGACCAAGAAGAATACACATGTAAGAATAGTCCAACTTATTTTTTTTTTATCAGTAGACTAGTTACTAGGGAAATTTTAGATTTATAAAATTTAAATGGGGCCGGGTGCGGTGACTCACGCCTGTAATCCCAGCACTTTGGGAGGCCGAAGTGGGCAGATCACAAGGTCAGGAGATGGACACCATCCTGGCTAACACGGTGAAACCCCATCTCTACTAAAAATACAAAAAAAAAAAAAATTAGCTGGGCGTGGTGGCGGGCACCTGTAGTCCCAGCTACTTGGGAGGCTGAGGCAGGAGAATGCCGTGAACCCAGGAGGCGGAGCTTGCGGTGAGCCGAGATCGCGCCACTGCACTCCAGCCTGGGTGACAGAGCAAGACTCCATCTCAAAAAAAAAAAAAAAATTAAATGGAAAGTACAAAGAGTTCCCATATACTCAATCACACACAGCTTCCCTTATTATTATATTGCATTAATGTGATACATTAGTTACAATTGATGAGCCAATATAGATTCATTATTATTAGCTAAATTCCATGGTTTATATCAAGTTTCACTTTTAGTATTGTACATACTATGGGTTTTGACAAATATATAATGTATATCCACCATTATACTATAACACAGAATAGTCTCACTGCCCTTGAAATCCTGTACTCCACCTATTTATTCCCACCTTCTGAAACGTGACAATCACTGATCTTTTACTGTCTCCATAATTTTGCCCTTTCCAGAGTGTTATATAGTTGGAATCATAGAGTATGTAATATTTTGACATTGACCTGTGTCACTTAGAATTATGCATTTTGGGTTCCTGCTTGTTTATTTATGGCTTGATAGGTCATTTTATTTTCATTTATTTATTTTTTACTGAATAATATTCCATTGTATAGATGTACCACAGTTTATTCATTCCCCTATGAAAAACATCTTGGTTGCTTTCAAGTTGAGGTAATTACAAATAAAACTTCTGTAAACATGTGTATGCAGGTTATTGTGTAGACACAATTTTCAAATAATTAGGTGAAATACAAAAGAGTACAATTGCTGGATTGTAATCAAGTATATGTTTAGTTTTATACAAAATTGCCAAATATAGAGACACAGCAAAAAAGTGAAACTTCAGGCTAATATCCCTAATGAACCTTGATGCAAAAATTCTTAACAAAATACTAGCAAACTGAATCCAGAAACACAACAAAAAGTAAATTCACTGTGATCAAGTAGGCCTTATTACTGGCATGAAAAGTTGTTTTAACACCTGCAAATCAATAAATATGATTTGCCATATGAAAATAATTAATAACAATATTTAAATGAACATCTCGATAGATGTGGAAAAAGCTTTAGATAAAATCCTAAATCCCTTCATGGTAAAATCCCTCAAAAAACTAGTCATTGAAGGAACATACTTCAAAATAATAAGAGCCATCTATGACAAACCCACAGTCAACATTATATGGAATTGGCAAAACCTGAAAACATTTCTCTTGAGACCCACAACAAGGGAAGAATGCCCACTCCCATCACTCCTATTCAACATAGTACTGAAAATTGAAACCAGGGCAATCAGGCAAGAAAAATAAATTAAAGGTGTCCAAATAGGAAAAAAAAGTCAAACTATGTCTCCTTGTCATTTATATGATTCTATATACCTAGAAAACACTAAAGACTCTGCCAAAAGCCTCATAGAACTTGAAGAAAAACTTCAGTAAAGTTTCCGGATACAAAATCAATGTACAAAAATTAGTAGCATTTCTATACACCAATAATATTCTATCTCAGAGCCAAATCAAGAACACAATCCCATTTACAATAGCCACACACACAAAAAATAAAATACCTAGGAATGCATCTAGCAAAGGAGGTGAAAGATCTCTACAAGAAGAACTACAAAACACTGCTGAAAGAAATCATAGATGACACAAATAAATGGAAACAAATCCCGTGCTCATGGATCAAAAGAATCATATTGTTAAAATGGCCATACTACCCAAAGCAATCTGCAGATTCAACACTATTCCTATCAAACTACCAAAATCATTTTTCACAGAATTAAGAAAACACTATTCTAAAATTCATATGAAATGAAAAAGAAGCTTGAATAGTGAAAGCAATCCTAATCCAATAGAAAAAAAGCTGGAAGCATCACATTGCCTGTCCTCAAACCATACTACAAAACTACAGTAACTGAAACAGCATGGTACTGGTACAAAAACACACATAGTCCAATGGAACAGAATAGAGAGCACAAACATAAAGCCACACACCTACAACCATCTGATCTTTGAAAATTTGACAAAAATAAGCAAAGGGGAAAAGATTCCTCGTTCAAAAAATGGTGCTGAGATAATTGGCTATACATAAGAATAAGAATGAAATTGGACCCCTACCTGTCACCATATGCAAAAATTAAGTCAAGATGGATTAAAACTTAAGTCTAAGACCTCAAAGTATCAAAGTACTAGAAGAAAACCTAGGCAATAGCTGTCTTAATATTGGCCTTGGCAAGGAATTTATATCTATTTCCTCAAAAGCAACTGCAACAGAAACAAAAATTGACAAGTGAGACCTAATTAAACTAAAGAGCTTCTGCACAAGAAGAGAAACTAAGGCAGTAAACAGTCAAACTACATAAGGGGAGAAAACATTCCCAAACTATGCATCTGACAAAGATGTAACCTCCATAATCTGTAAGGAACTTAATCAAATAAAAAAGCAAAAAGCAAAGAACTCTATTAAAAAGTAGGCAAAGGACATGAACGGATACTTCTGAAAAGACACACAAGCAGGTAACAAACATGAAAAAAGTGCAGCATCTCCAATCATCAGATAAATGCAAATCAAAGCCACAATGAAATACCTTCTAACACCAGTCAGAATGAATTTTGTTAAAAAGCCAAAAAATTACAGATGTTGGCAAGGCTGCAGATAAAATAAGACACTTATACACTGTTGTTGAGAATGTAAATTAGTCCAGCCAATTGGGAGAGCAGTTTGGAGATTTTTCAAAGAAGTAAGAGTTGAACTACCATTCAATCCAACAATCCCATTAGTGGGCATATACCCAAAAGAAAAATAAATATTTCTATCAAAAGGACATGCATCCCTGTGTATTCATCACAGTGCTATTCACAATAGCAAAAACATGGAATCAACTCAAATGCCCATCAATGGTGGGTTGGATAAAGATAATGTGATACATATACACCAGGGAATACTATGCAATAATGTAAAAGAATGAAATCATGTGCTCTGCAGCAACATAGGTGCAGCTGGAGGCCATTATCCTAAGCAAGCTAATGCAGAAACAACAAATCAAATACTGCATCCTCTCACCTTATTTAGAGGCTAAATTCTGGGGACACATGGACATAAAGATGGGAATAGTAGGCATTGAGGGCCACTAGAGAGGAGAGGAAGGGAGTGGGGCAAGGCTGGAAAGACTACCTATTGAGTACTATGCTCACTACCTCAGTGATGGATTCAGTCCCCAAACCTCAGCATCACACAACATACCTTTGGAACAAGTCTGCACATGTACCCACGATTCTAAAATACGAATTGAAAAAGAAAAAATAAAAAACTGCCAAATATCTTCTAAAATGTTTATACCATTTTGCATTATGGTCAACAATGAATGAGAGCTCCTGTTCCTGTACATTTTCTCTGGTGTTTGGTTTTGTCAATGTTTTGAATTTTTACCCTCCTAATAGGTGGGTAATTGTATTTCATTGTTGTTTTAATTTGCAACTCCTTAAAGAGAAAGAAGAACATCTTTTTATAAGCTTATTTGCCATTTGTATACCTTCTTTGATGAGGTATCTGTTTAGATCACTAGCCCGTTTTTGAGTTCTTTGTTTTTTACATTGTTAAACTTTGTGTTCTTGTCATATTTTGGATTACAGTCCTTTTATTCTATATGTCTTTTGCAAAATTCTTCTTCTATTCTGTAGCTTGTCTTCTCACTGTCTTGACAGTGTCTTTTGAAGAGCAAAGTTTTTAAGTTTTAATGAAGACCAGCTTATTATTTTATTTAAATAGATCATGCCTTTGTTCTTGTATCTAAAATGTCACTGCCAAATCCAAGGTCACCTGACATTTTTTCTATGATATCTTATAGGAGTTCTATAGTTTTGCATTTTTAACCTGGATTTTTAAAATTAATTTTTGAAAAGTACAACTTCCGTGTCTGGTTTGTTTTTGTTTATGTATTTTGTGAATGAAGTTATCCAGTTGTTCCTGCACTATTTGCTGGAAAAAATCCTTAATTCATATATTGCCTTTTCTCCTTACTCAAAAATCAGTTGACTATATTTGTAAAGGTCTATTTCTGGACTCTATTCTACTCCAGTATATATTTGTATAATATTTTGCCAATACCATACTTTCTTGATTGCTTTAGCTTTATACTAAGTCTCAAAGTCAGGTAGTGTCAGCTTTCCAAGTTTGTCTTGTCTTTCAATATTGTGTTGGCCAGGTTGTGTGTTTTGCCTTCATATATAAACTTTATGATCTATTTCTCAACATTCATAAAATTATTTGCTAAGATTTTGATTGAGATTGTGTTGCCTCTATGGATAATATTCTATTTATATAAAACATATCTCCATTTATTTGTATCTTCTCTGATTTCTTTCATCTGAGTATTATGATTTTCCTATGTATATTTTGTACATATTCTACTAGATTTTTAACTAAGTATTTCATTTTTAGGTGTTAATGTAAATACAATTTTGATTTTAATTTCAAATTTTAATTATTCTCTGTTGACTTGGGTATGTTAGTCTTGCATCTTGCAACCTTATTTTAATTGCTTATTAGTTCAAGTATTTTGTTGTTGATTGCTTGGAATTTTATGCATAGACAATCATGTTATCTGAGAACAAAGACAGTATATTTTGTGTGATTAATATTTTTAAAAATTGTTAAGATGTGTTTTATGTCCCAAAATACGTTCTATCCTGTTAAATGTTTAATCTGGGCTTGGAAAAAATGTGTATTCTTCTGTTGTTGAATAAAATACTCTATGCATGTAAATTACATCCAGTTGGTTGATGAAGTTGGTGAGTTCAACTACGTCCTTAGTGATTTTCTGTTACTGGATCTTTTAATTACTGATAGAGGAGTATTGAAGTCTCCAACTACAATGGAGTATTAATCCATTTATTCTTGCATTTCTTACCGTTTTTGTCTTACCTATTTCGACACTCTGTTATTAGGCCCATACACACTGAGAATTGTTATATCTTCTTAAAAATGGACTCCTTCCTAATTATGTAATATACTTCTTTGTCTCTAGTCATTTTATTTTTTGCTCCAAAGTGGGCTGTATCTAAAATTAATATAACTACTCAATATTTCTTGTTATTAGTGTTAACATGATAGAATATTTCCCAATTCTTACCTTTAATCTATTTTTTATATTAAAATGGGTGTATTGAAGAGAACATATGTTTATGATTATTTTAAATCCACTATGTTAGCATCTTTCTTTTAATTGGAGTATTCAGACCACTGACATTTAAAGTGAATATTGATATAGTTGGATTAATATCTACCATATTTGTTACTTTTTTCTACTTATTGGTTTTGCCCTCTGTTTCTGTTAGTTCCACTCTTTTTCTGCCTTTTGTAGTTTTAACTGAACATTTTATATTTCATTTTATGTCCTTATTAGAATATCAATTATATTTCTTATACATAACTTAACCAAAATCATCATAACAACGTGATTATGTTTCATGGATAAGTAAAATGAATGGCAAAACACTGTAAGAGTTGTGAGACAAGTTAATAATATTCCAAGTTAACTTGCACTACACATGTAATAGTATAGTGCTAATAAAAGTAGAGCTAAATTCATTGTACAAGTATATTTCAAATTTTTAGGAAACAATTAAAATTTTTTAAGAAATATAAGTTTTACTACCCTGATGGTTTATTTGATAAACATTAGGTTAATAATTTGAATGTAATAAAATTCTCAATCTTTCATTTATAATTACCCTTTTTTGTATATATTTTCTCCTGTAATGTATAAATTTGCATGAATTCATTTTTATTGTTAATTAAATGTTTTAAAATATCTTTTGAGGTATGATGGACAAATGAAAACTTGTACATATTTAACATAAACTAATTCATGAGTTTGCAGATAAGTGTACATCCTTGAAATCATGAAAAATATTGTGTTCCCAGAATAAGCATAATTTGTTTTGATTTATAATTCCCTTTATTCCTTAATATATTCACATAGCTAATAATATATTTAGAATCTTGATATCAATGTTCAATAATAGCCATTGGCCTGAATTGTTTTTCTTATTAGGTCTTTGTCATGATTTGATATCAAAGTCATCCTATGTTCACAAAACTATTTAGAAAGCCTTTTTTTCACCTTTAATATTCTTGATTTGTTTATGTAATATTGAGTTTCCTTTCTTAAATATTTGGTAGAAGTTACCAAAGAAGGTACCCCTATCTATATCTGGACCAGCTCATTTGTTTGCTAGTTTTTTGTTGTTATTGTTGTTTTTTAAATTGTAGGAAATTTATATTTGGGCAAATTTTATGCCTAATTTCAGCATAATGAAAAATGTCTTCTGATCATTTGAATTTACCAACGCAAATGGATACCCAGAAAACTCAGTCCAATTAACGTCATAAGGACAACACTTAATTCATTCCAGTTAGCCAACCCAAAAGGGTTGTATAGACAACCCACAACCAAAGAGTTGTATAGGCAACCCAGAATAGCCAGGGTAGCCCATTTTTATTAAAGGGAGTAAAACTATATAACTATAATAGATTTAGTTTGTGAAGATTAATAATACTATTAATAAATAGTTGATCATAATGAAGAAGAGGATGATTCTCAACAATAAATTAGTTAATTTTGCTTTTTGTTGATAAAAGAGATAAAATATCTGGCAAGAACAATGGTTTAAATTGCTGATACTAGCTTGTAGTCTACCTACAGATCTTCATTATCTCTATTTCTGTCCTCTAGGATAGTATAAATTATCTCTAGAAAATATAGTTTATTTAAAAATTAATATCCATCAGAATTCTATTTTTCCAAGGGTATTTTTTTCTATAGTGTTTCAAACCACAGAAAACCTATATATCTGTATATGGAACATATTGAGAGTAATGTAAAGCATAATGGTGCAACCACCTACAGATAGTGAAGAGAATTAACATAATAATTTTAAAAATACCAACTGAAAATCTTCTTTGCATAAGCCAAAAATAGTTAACTACATGCTGCTAGAGTATAAGTGTTTTAAAAGGAAGTGATAAAGATATTCTTTATTTAGCTCTATTTTATACAACATGTAATCTGGTTGTAAAGAAACATTTACTGTCTAGTTTACACTTTGTGGTTCATAATACCAACACTTACATAAACTAATTAACTAATGAAAATATGTCTTATCTTGTAAGTACTTTGGATAAGAATAGGTTCTCAACATTGTTTTTTGGTATTCTTACTTTTTTCTTTTGCTCATTATTTTTATTTTTTATTTAACTAATTAAAAAAAATTTAAGTTCAGGAGATACGTGTGCAGGTCTGCTACATGGGTTTATTGTGTAATGATGAGGTTTCCTCCTGGTGAACCCGTCACCCAAATAGTGAACATAGCACATGATAGGGAGGTTTTTGAATCCTTTCCCCTCCCTGTCTCTCGCCTTTTGTAGTCACCAGTGTCTATTATTTCCATCTTTGTGTCTACGCATGCCCATTCCATTTTTTATCTTCCACTTATCAGTGAGAACATATAATATTTGATTTTCTGCTTCTCAGTTATTTTACTTAGGAATAGTCTCCAGCTTCATCCATGTTGCAGCAAAGGGCATGATTTCATTCTTTTTTATGGCTGCATGGTATTCTGTGGTGCATACAAGCCACATTTTTTAATCTAGTCAACCACTGATGGATATTTAGGTTAGTTCCATGACTTTGCTATTGTGAATAGTGCTGCAGTAAACACACAAGTGCAGGTATCTGTTTGATGAAACAATTTCTTTTTCTTTGGGTAAATACCCAGTAATAGGATTGCTGGGTCAAATGGTAGTGGCTGTTCTATGTTTAGTCCTTTGAAAAGTCTACATACTGTTTTCCGTATGACTAAACTAATTTACATTCCCACCAACAGTATATGAGCATTCTATTTTCTCTGCATCCTTGACAACATTTGTTAGTTTTTGACTTTTTATAATAGTCATTCTGACTGGTGTGAGATGATATCTCATTGTGGTTTTAATTTGCATTTCTTTGATAATTAGTGATGTTGATCACTTATACACATGTTTATTGACCACGTGTATGTCTTCTTTTGAGAAATCTCTGTTTAGGTTCTTTGCCCACTTTTTGATGGATTTATTTGTGTTTTTTTGTTGTTGATTTGCTTAAGTTCTTTATATAATCTGAATATTAGTCCCTTGTCAGATGCAGAGTTAGAAAACACTTTCTGTCATTTTGTAGGTTGACCGTTTACTTTTCTGATCATTTCTTTTGCTGTGCAGAAGCTCTTTAGTTTAAGTCCCACTGGACATATTTTTTGTTTTTATTGCATTTGCTTTTGAAGTCTTAATCATAAATTCTTAGCCTAAGCCAGTGTCCAGAATAATTTTTCTTAGATTTTCTTTTAGTATTTTTATACTTTCAGGTATTACATTTAAGTCTTTAATCCATTTTGAGTTAATTTTTGTACGTAATGAGAGCTAGTGGTCCAGTTTCATTCTTCTGCATATGCCTACCCAGTTTTCCTAGCACCATTTATTGAATAGAATATCCTTTCCCCATTGTTTATTTTTGACAACTTTGTCAAAGATCAGTTTCTTTTATGTATGTGGCTTTATTTGTGGGTTCCTTATTCTATCCCATTGATCTATGTGTGTATTTTTATACCAGTACCATGCTTCCTTGGTTACTATAGCACTGTAATATAGTTTGAAGTCAGGTAACAAGATGCTTCCAGTTTTTTTGTTGTTGTTGTTTTGCTTGTTTACTTAGGATTGCTTTGGCTCTTCAGGATATTTTTGGTTTTCTATGAATTTTAGAATAGTTTTTTTCTAATTCTGTAAAAAATAACATTGGTAAATTGATAGAAATTGTGTTGCATCTGTAGATTGATTTGGGCAGTATAGTCATGTAAATGATATTGATTTTTCTTATCCATGAGACTGGGATGTTTTGACATTTGTCTGTGTTATCTATAATTTCTTTCATCAGTGTTTTGTAGTTCTCCTGTAGCAGTCTTTCGTTGCCTTGGTTAAATGCATTGTCAGGTATTTTTTGTTTATACAGCTATTGTAATTGGGATTTAGTTCCTGATTTGGTTTCAGTTTGAGTGTTGGTGCATAGAAATACAACTAATTTTTGTATGTTAATTTTGCATCCTGGACCTTTACTAAACTTCTTTATCAAGTCTTGGAGTATTTTGGAGGACTGTTTAGGATTTTCTGTGTATAAGATTATGTCATCAGCAGTCAGAGATAATTTGGCTTCTTTTTTTTTCCAATTTAGACGCCTTTTTTTTTCTTTCTTTTGCCTGATATCTCTGACTAGGGCTTCCAGTATTATGTTGAATAACAGTGGTGAAAGTGGACATCCTTGTCTTGCTTCAGTTCCTAGGGGAAATATTTTCAACTTTTCCACATGTGGTATAACACTGGCTGTGGGTTTATCATATATGGCTCTTATTATTTTGAAGTATGTTCCTTAAATGCTTAGTTTGTTGAGGGCTTTAGTTATAAAGGGATGTTGGGTATTATCAAATGCTTTGTCTGCCTCTATTGAGATGACCATATGGTTTTTTTTTAAATTCTGTTTATGTGGTTAATCAGATTTATTGATTTGTGTATTTTGAACTATCCTTTCATCTCTGCAATGAAACACACTTGATCATGATTAATTATGTTTTGTTTTATTGCTGGATTCATTTGGCTAGTATTTTGTGGAGGATTTTTGTCTACATGTTCATCAGAGATATTGGCCTGTAATTTGTTGTCATTGTCGTTTGTGTCTTTATTGAATCTTGCTATCAGGATGATACTGGTTTTGTAAAATTAGTTAGGAAGAAATTCTTCTTTCTTGACTTTTTGGAACAGTTTCAGTAAGATTGGTACCAGCTCTTCTTTATCTGACAGAATTTGACTATGAATCTGCTTGGTTCTATTTTCTCTTTTGGTAGAAATTTTATTACTAATTCATTTTCATACCTCATTATTTTCCTGTACAGAATTTCAACTTCTTCCTGGTTCAATATTGAGAGACTGTATATTTCCAGGATTTTTTCCATTTCCCCTAGGTTTTCTCGTTTGTGTGCATACTTATGTTCATAGCAGTCTCTAAGAAGCTTTTGTATTTCTGTAATATTATTCATAATGTGAAAGTTGTTAAGATCTTTATTTTTTTTATGTAGGCATTTAGTGCTATAAACTTTCCCCTTAACACTTTCTGTATCACAGAAGTTTCAGTATGTTATTTCTCTGTTTCCATTTACTTCATTTTTTAAATTTCTGCCTTTTATTGCTTACACAAAAATTATTCAGAATGAAGTTAGTTTCTATGTTCTTGTGTGGTTTTGAGAGTTTCTCTCAGTATTGATTTCTAGTTTTATTTCACTGTGATCTGAAAAGGTGCTTGATATGATTGAGATTTTTAAAAAATGATTGTGACTTTATTTATGACCAAGCATATGATCAATTTTAGAGTTCCATGTACAGATGAGAAAAAATTATATATCTTTTTAGCGTAATTTTGTGTAGATGTGTATTGGGTCTATTGTTCAGGAGTCCAATTTAATTCCAGAGTTTATTTGTTAGTTTTCTGCCTCAGTGATCTGTCTAGTGCTTCTAGTAGGGTTTTAAAGCTCCCTACTAGTATTATATGAATGCCTGTCTCTTTACTGGGTCTAGTAATATTTGTTTTATTACTCGGTGTTCTCTGGTGTTGGGTGTATATATGTTTAGAATAATTAAATTTTCTTGTTTAATTGAGCCATTTAGCATTATATGATGCCTTTCTTTGTCTTTTTTTATTTTACTGTTGTTTTAAAGTCTATTTTATCTGATACAAGAATATCAACCCCTGCTTCTTTTTTGTTTTTCATTTGTGTGATATATCTTTTTCTACTCCATTATTCTGAGTTTGTGGGGGTCATTACATGTTTGGTGGGTTTTTGAAGGCAACAGATGGTTGGGTCATCTTTAAATCCAATTTGCCAATCTACATCTTTTAAGTGGAGTATTTAGGCCATTTATGTTAAAAGTTAATATTGATATGTGAGGTTTTGTTCCTGTCATAGTGTTTTTGACTAGATACAGTGTAGTCTCAATTGTGTAACTGCTTTAGAGGACCTGTGGATTTTGTCTGTAAGTGTGCTTTTATGGTAGCAAGTATTGTCTTTTTTTTCCATGTTTAAAACTCCTTTGAGCATTTCTTACATGATTGGTCTGGTTGTGATGAATTCCCTTAGCATTTGCTTATCTGGGAAATTTTTAACTTCTTCTTTAAGAGGCTTAGTTTGGCAGGATATGCAATTCTTGGTTGACATTTATTTTTCTTAAGAAGTCTAAAAATAGGCCCCCAATCTCATCTGGCTTGTAAAGTTTCTCCTGGGAAGTCTGCTCTTAACTCTGTTTTGATTTCCTTTATAGGTAATTTGACCCTTTTCTCTAGCTGTTTTTAATATTCTTTTCTTTAGCATTGACCTTAGATAGTACAAATACAGAATGCTTCATACATTTGCATGTTATCTTTGCCAGGGGGCATTCTAATCTTCTCTGTATTGTTCTAATTTTAGTATATGTGCTTCTGAAATGAGCACCTTTTATTTATTCTTAACAGAAACTTAAATATGTCATAACACAGATATATTTGCTGTACCCTAAGAATTAACTTTTCATTGTATTGATAAATACGTGTAACTTTGGTTCATACAGACATGTTTGTTTAGTTTGGTCAACTTATTGACCAATGGAAAGCATGATGTTTAGATATTGTTACAGTTGTAATGTCAATTTAAACATGATAAAAAATTCATAATTAATAATTTCTCTATTTCACAGAAAAGAAAATAAGAAATTAAATATTTACAAACACCAAGTATTTCTAGACACTATCCTTTACATATATTGTCCAATATAAGCTTCAAAGCAAACTTACCATGGTTTTTTATTTTTTATTTTCCTGCTTTCTCATAGGAGGAAATTAGAGGACAGAGTAAATAAATAACATTTCCATTATGATACAAACTGACTCCACCATCCATTTTCTTCACAATTTATCTCACTGACTCCCATTCACTGTAGGCAGGACCACTGTGAATTTTGAAAGCTTCTTTCTCAAAACAAATTACACTTTTATGTGTCATTTTCAAATGTTTTTTCTTTATCATTTTAGAGAAAAGAAACTGTGTAATTAATATTATGCTGCTGTGTTTCTGTGTAGTTTCCAGAAATTATCTACTACTACCATCTCTTTACTTGCAAATCAGTCCTCTTTCTCTGTAATTTCTCCCTTTATTTTAAGACATTGAAATGTTTAAAACATAGAAGAATTAAAAATGTAGAAACATTTAAGAAATGGAAAGGCAAGGAAGCCTCAAATTTTGTTATGTTTATCTTTATTATGAGCAATTTCCACATATAAGGTTTCTAATAGAACATTATTTTTACTTTTCTCAATGACTTAAAATTTATCTACATTAAATCTATCATATTTTACATTTGTCCTTCAGTGCAGGAAATATTAATATAATTTTAATAGGGTTGATAAAATAATATTAACACCATAAAACAATCCAACCAAAAAACATAGAAGCCACATTATTTTTATTTGATCATTATACCAGCTTATTAAAAAAATCAGAGAAGAATAGGCATTATGTGATATTTCAAGGTGAACAGGCTTGATTAATATCAGAGAAGGAATGCCATTCCAAGTATCTTAATCTTATATTTTGTGCTCTTATTAAAATGCCATTTTCTAAAAAAGTTTCCTATTTTGTATATTCTTGGGGAATGAAAAACAGAGAAAAAGAACAATGCTTTAAAGGAAAATAAAGTACAAATTATAATAAAGTTTGAAGATAAAATAAACATTCTATAATTAACCTAATAATTATGATGAGCCAGAGTAAAATCCACATATACCACCCAGACTAAGGAAGTTTTGATCTAATTTAGGCATCTTTTTAAATTCATTCCTTACATAGTGAGAACCCATTTAGACCATTGGCTGTAACTGATGAAACCACATTTATTACCACTACGGATTTCTCATGCCTGCTTATCTTGGCCCATGTTCTCAATTCTGTACCGGGTGGAAAAAAAAAATTCTTTATTAGTTTATTCACTGCTGATAATGGTTGAACTCTTGCCCTGGCCCTGAAAAGAAGTGCAATGTGTTCCAACTATCTTATTATTTAGCATCCACAATGGCTACACAGCCATTGTGTAGCCTGGATCCAAAACTACACTTCATATGACGCACGCAATAGAAGTAGCTAGAAAACTTTTATTCCAGTGATAATTATAGCTAACATTTTATATTGAGTAATTATTGTATGCAAGGCATTATTTTAAGTGCCTCATAAAAACATAATTACATTTAATCCTTACAACAATTCCGGGAGGTAGGTATTATTATCCTCCATTTACTAATGAAAAATCTGAGACCTAAAATGATTGAAAACCTAGTAAATGGTAGAACCATAGTTCAATCCTAGATTTTTTGACTCTAGAGATTTAGCTTTTAGCCATTATGCTACATCATCTCCTTTTTAAGTTATTTCAGTATAAAGTGGGACATACCATATTTATAACTTTCATGGGACTAAGTAAACAAAGTGTTCCAGGGTCTTGTTCTTCAAAAGGTTACACTGAATATAGTGAAAATTCTGATATTAGGTGAGAAAAAAACAAGGCATTAATCAAAACATTAGTCAAAACTATATGTATTTGAAAGATTTTTTACAGTGGTTGCTTGGAATACCAACAATAGGAGCAAAGTATAAAAATCCAAATAGCTCTTTCTGTGTATCAGTATAATTTCATTTGTATTCATTTTTCAATCTTGCAAAGATTGTGGAAACAGGAAATGACAGTCATGTAAGTGGTGAACATACTCAAATACTGGAAACAACATTAAAAATTCAACTGAGTAAACTAAAAATTTCATGCTAACATTGTAATTTTTATGGAGGATATCCTCATAATATATATTTCTCTATTATTTAATTTTTAAAGACTTAATAAGTTAATTGAGATGTGTACTTTTCCACAAAAGTATTATAATTGTTTCTATGATTTAACTGTTATTTTATTAAGTATAATTGTTTTGGTTTTGTAAAATTATGTAATTTTGTGTATTATGAACTTTAAACAACAAATTTAATTTCATACAAAGCTTTCATAATATTCTATAGTTCAAGCTGCAATTCTATGTTACAACGTTACTCTAAAAAAAATTCAAGCATCCACTTAGAATTCTGATAGTTGATTTTGAATTCTGCAGGATTGTTTTAATGTAAGAGACTTATCAGAGGTAAGAAAATAAAGTCATTGTTATATGAGCCATGAAAAAAGACTAGATAATACCAAATATAAATTGTTAAGTAGAATAAAGTGCAGGAGCCTCCAGGGATAATTTGTTAATAATTAAAAATACATACCTTTAGGATAAGACTAAAAAATCTGAGCCTATCTAAAAAAGACAGAAAACAATCAGAATATTACAGAATATTAAAAAATAATATTATGACATATTAAATGGATACTAAACATTAAAATTCCCAAAGGAAAATAATAATATCAGATTTTATAGTTCACAATGTATTAAGTACCTAAAGCATGTTTACATTTATGCAAATTTGAGACATATGTGTATATAAGCTTGTATGTCTATATATGTATTTCAACATTACTTTATAGTCATTCCTTATATTCCCCCAAATTGAAAAATAAATAAATAATAGAATAAACATATTACTTAGAAATATTAAAAAATACCACAAAAATCTTAGAAGAATTGAGTATGGTTGAATCTAGGGAGAAGAATTTCAGGGTCAGAAGGGATTGAGCCAAGCAACTGCTGATTCTCATTATAAGGTTTGTAGAATTTGCTTTATGTTCAAATTTTGTACATGTATAACTTTAAAAGAACAAAAAGATCAAATTTAAAATATAACGTTCTTTTTTCTCTAAATAACTAATTAGAGGCTTTTAGCATGCTTTAGGCACTTGGAGATAGCAAGATAGTGCATAAAGATGAACTCTTCTTTGAGAAGAAAAAAATTGGAATCCACTAGAATCATACAGGACACCACAGATCCCAAGAAGAACGCTAGTAAACAGCCCCTGTGATGGTATCTGGCTGATACAAGTGAGTGAAGCCCCAGTATGTGAAAGAGGGAGAGAGCCTCCCTCGGTGACTCACCTTTTCCCTGGACATTTGAGCAACCAAGGCTGAAGGAGAGCACTTTGTTTCTCCCAAGCCCTGGCAGCAACTTGAGGATAGGCTTGGAGATACTGTGAGGAAAAGATACCAGGAAAAGCTTCAGGTATTTTCTCAAACATGGGACTGAGAGCAGGATGCCACTTTTAATCAAGGTGCATAGTCAGCCATTCTTTGGTGACCCACAAACATGGCCATGCAGGCATTTCAGTGTCAGGCCAAAGACTGGAGTTCTCTCTCTGGAGTGGGGTAAGGGCCTCCTTAGCCAGAGCTATGGAAAGCAGCAGTAGATGCTGGGATTATGCTCTCCCCAGTCACAATCCTGGGGCAGGAGGAGAGCTGCTACAGCTGCAGTTTCTCCTGGATGGCAAGGACTGCAGTCAGGGCCAGCTTGGTGACCTAGAACTGGTCCATATGTGCTATTGCTGGATGCCCCAGCCTGCACTCCTGACATCTTGTGTAGCAAGGCCCTCTTTGCTCCAACTCCAGACAGAAATCTAGGCATTTGGAGCATCCTCTTGTCTGGTTCAGCAGCCAAGTGGCATCCTGCTCTTAGTCCTTACTCTTTCTGAACATAGATTGTGGAGGAGAAAGGACCTGTCTGCTCCACTACCAAAGCAGATATTCAGGTATTTGGAACATCAGCTCAGCTGGATGAGCAGCCTGAACTTCCCCACCCTTCCTGTGCAGAGATCCTTGTGCAGGTGGGGGTTGTGGGAGTGGAGCTCACTTTTACAAGCTCAGGCAGATTTCCAGGAATTCAGAGCACCTGCTAGTCTGGTTCAGCAGCCTGAGTTGCCCCACCTCTCCTGTGCAGACATCTTGGTGCAGGGGACCCACTCTACTTCAAGCCAAGGAAGACTTCTTGGCATCTGAAGAACACACTCTCCTGTATTAGGAGATTAGGCCACCTCTCATTAATGTGCAGAGATTTTGGGGCTGAGGAGGTTCCTCAGCTCCATGCCTAGGCACATCTCTGAGTGCTTGGTGGTGACCCATGGGATTTTCTCTCACTGAAAGTGCTTGTGGCTGCCATCAGGGGACCTGTAGGCAGAACTGCCCAGTCTGGCCCCATTTATCACTGTCCACAACAATGCAGGGTTCTGCAGAGGGCTCAGTTCACTAAACATTCTAGTAATCAGCCAATTGCCTGAGGCAACAGAGAGCTTCTGCCAGTAAACAATAATGTATACAGAACTGCGTTGGCTGCAGCCAGCTCTTACCCCTATAAGTACTCTCTGCTGGCTGGTACATTGAACTGCACAGACCAATATAAAACCTGCCAAAAGAAGTGCATGGGGCTATAGAGGCAAAGCCAAAGGACACTACCCAGCATTCTCTACAGTTGTACCCCTAGGGAGGGGAGAAAAGGGAATGGGAAAAATATTGTTATAGGGGAAGAAATAAAAAGAAAAAAATCCTACCAGCATTAAAATAATTACAAAAATTTAATGTGCCACCATCTCCAGATGAGAAGGAACCAGCACAAAAATTCTAACACTGTAAAAAATCTGAATGTGATGACACCATCAAAGGATCACACTAGCTCTCTAGCAATGGAATCTAACAAAAAGGGAAATTCACAAATTACAGATAAATAATTCAAAGCATGGATTGCAAGAAAGCTCAATGAGATCCAAGACAAGGTTAAAAATTAACACAAACTTCTAAAGCAATCCATGAAATGAAGAAAGAGATAGACATCTTAAAAATCAATCAGAGCTTCTGGAATAGAAAAACCTCTCCTAAGAATTTAAAATGCAATTGAAAGCTTTATCAATAATCTAGAAAGAACAAAAGAAAGAATTTCAGAGCTGGATGACTGGTCCTTCAAGTTAACCCAGTTACACGGAAATAAAGAAAAAAGAATTTTAAGAAATAAAAATTTCTTCAAGAAATACAGGATTATATAAAGTGACCAAACCTATGAATTAATGGCATTCCTGAGAGAAGGGAAAAAAAGCAAACCACCTGGAAAACATATTTGAGGAAATAATTCAAGCAAATCCCTCTAATCTTGCTAGAGAGGCAGACATCCAAATAAAAAAGAAATCCAGAGAACACCTGTGAGATACTATAAAAATGAACATGGCCAAGGCACAGAGTCACCAGACTGTCCAAAATAAATGCTACAGAAAAAATATTAAGGCCAACTAAAGAAAAAGATCAGATCATGTACAAAGGCATCTCCATCAGGTTACATGTGAAGTTCTCAGCAGAAATCTTATAAGCCAGGAGAGACTGGGGATCTATTTCTAGCAATATTCAAGTAAAGAAATTCCTACGAAGAATTTAATATCCCAGCAAACTAAGCTTCAAAAATGAAGGAGAAATAAAATCTTTTCAGATAAACAAGTTCTAAGGGAATTTATTACCCCTAGACCAACATTAGAAGAGATTATTAAGGGATTTCTAAATATGGAAATGAAAGAATGATGCCTGTGACCACAATAACACATTTAAGTACATAGCCCATAGACCCTCTAAAGCAACCACACAATAGAAACTACAAAGAAATCAGCTAACTACTTTACGATAGGATCAAAACCTCACATATCAATATTAACCTTGAATGCAAATGGTCTAAATAGCCAACTTCAAAAGCAGAGAGGGGCAAGTTGAATTAAAAAAAAAAAAAACAAGACCAATCCAACTGCTGTCTTCAAGAGACCAATCTCACACAAAACAACATTCATAGGCTCAAAGTATGTTACAATTCAAATATAATGTAATGGTCTCCTTTATACTTTAACCTGGCTTAAATAGAAGTGTGTCTTAATTATATTATTGTCTAAATTTTTGGTATGCCTGAATTATATCATAATAACATAATAAAATATAAGTATATAAGTGTACTTTTTTTTTTTGAGATGGAGTCTTGCTCTGTCGTCCAGGCTGGAGTGCAGTGGCACGATCTCTGCTCACTGCAAGCTCCGCCTCCCAGGTTCATGCCATTCTCCTGCCTCAGTCTCCCAAGTAGCTGGGACTACAGGTGCCCGCCAACACGCCTGGCTAATTTTTTTGTATTTTTAGTAGAGATGGGGTTTCACCATGTCAACCAGGATGGTCTCAATCTCCTGACATCATAATCCACCCACCTTGGCCTCTCAAAGTGCTGGGATTACAGGAGTGAGCCACTGCACCCAGCCTATAAGTGTACTTTTTAAATTTAAATTTTATAATTAAAAGTGTAATTTTATAATGTAAATATAATGCAATAATTTAAATATTATAATTTAATAATTTAATATTGTAATTTAATAATTTAATATTATAATTTAACAATTTAAATATTATAATGCAAATATAATGTAATAAAATATAAGTAAGGATTAAAAAATAATAGCATAGACTGCATGGTGCAGAATATAACTTCATGATACCTGGAGATCTGTAAGATTATAGACTCCCATCCTGAACCTGGCTTGTAGCTTAATAAGAACAGCAGAATTCCTAATATTCCTGTGTGTAAAACATATCCAATCTCCTAGGCTCCTTAAATTAAAGAAAGGTCTCAGTTGTCATTTTTATTATGTTAGAGGTTCCTTTACATGTCTTATGTTTGTATAAGAAAAGAAAATCTTATTGGGATTTGCTGCTTGTATGAATATTGCAAAAGTGATTAACGTAAACAATATGTATATTGGAATTATGAAATTTCATGAAGAGAAGAAACATTTAGCTAAAATTTTATCTGTTCAAGTTAAATCCTGTTAGGAAATTAACTACTTTATGGTTCTGAACCAATATTTAAATTAGTATTTTTTTTTTTTAAGCTTACAGCCATAAATTTAAAGTGAGTCGAGTCTGGGTGGTTTGAGTTTTTTTCTGTTTATCAGCTCATATATGTAGGCATAAATTAGAGGGAAAGATGGCTTTAATCACAGTTGGGGCGTTTCCAGGAAAATATGTTGGCAAGAGAGAGTGTGTGTGATTTACACATGTACATGAATCACATTAAAATATTTGATTGTTTTAATGTAGGAAACATCAAGTTCAAATCTGTGTAACTTTTACTGCGGTGAAATAAAGTTCTGACATAAAACATAAAATGCTAGTGTTTCATACATAGATTTCCTCATTAGATTTATTATATGAAAATTTGAATATGGGCAGCGATGCACTGAAAAATAAAATGAAATGTGTGTTACAGTTTAATTTAGAGGTCTCCATATTGTAATCAGCTTAATGCCCTGGGACAACTACTAAAAATACAGTTTTGATTTATGTTTTAGTAATATAAATGTTTAAGATCATATATGCACTATTCTTTCTTAAGAATTTGTTTTGTTCTTTCTGCACACACACAACATCATAATGACAATGACTTTCTGATGTGTACACATATCTAAAGTTATTCCAAAGTTAACTTCAGGTTGTTGACAGATTGCTTCTCTTGGGTTCTTTGGGGACTGGATTGAAGCTTGGCTTTTGAGAAGGGAGACTTTCATACTTAAGAATGCAGTTTTTAGACTATCTCACAAGGAATCAAGACTGTTTTTTGAAGAACCATATTTTTGTTTTTAACTTTTAAGTTCAGGGGTATGTGTGCAGAATGTGCAGGTTTGTTACATAGGTAAATGTGTGTCATGGGGTTTGTTGTACAGGGTATTTCATCACCCAGGTATTGAGTCTGGTATCCATTAGTTATTTTTCCTGATCCTATCCCTCCTCCCACCTTCCACCCTCCGATAGGCCCCAGTGTGTGTTGTTCCCCTCTATGTGTCTGTGAGTTCTCATCATTTAGCTCCCACTTATGAGAGAGAACATGTGGTATTTGGTTTTCTGTTCCTGTGTTAGTTGTTAAGGATAATGTTAAGGATAATGGCCTGACGTTCCTTCCATGTCCTGCAAAGGAAATGACCTCAAGAAACCACATGTTTAAAATGTATTTAACATCTCTGGGTTAGTGGTTTCCCTAAATGGATGTCAATTCCTTTCATTGAGTAAATATTGGTTGAAGTCCCAGATACTCTCTTAGGACTCCAGGATACAACAGCAAGCAAGACAGTTTATGTCTGTGCTTATTATAGAGTTTACGTTCTGGCAGCTTTGGCCATAAAAAAGTTTCCTTCCCCATATGTAAAAGAATATTTCCTGGAATAATAATAATAACACATAGGCTCAAAAACATGGTTAGATGCAATAAAATATTTTTTATTTGAATTCTGTTTATTGGACTGGCTGCTCAGAGACACTTCTTAATGCCTTCATTTCAATATACAGACACAGTTTTCCAAATGAATACATACTCTATGCCAGGCATTGTGCCAGGTAATTCACACATATTATCTCACTTAAGTCTTGCAAAAAACCAGAGGAAATAAAAAATTATTTCAATTTTTTTAGACAGGAAAAATGACAGTAAGAAAAGTGAAATAATAATCAAATTTAATTACTTTAGTTGTTAGTGGTCACATTGGGCTACAAATCAAGGTTAATTCCACTTCACAACCCCAATACACTCTACCACCCTGCAGCACTGCAGGAAAGCCCTTATAACACATCATATACAGTATTTCCCCCTTACCTACAGGGGATATGTTCCAAGAACCCCTGATGGATGCCTGAAACAGCAGATAGCATCAAAGCCTGTTACACTGTTTTATTTATATGATAACCAAGGCTGCTATTAAGTGACTAATGGGCTCTAGCATAGCCACCATGGATATGTTGGACAAAGAAATAATCTCTGGGCATGAGAGAGTGAAACAGCATCAATGTTATCATGCTACTCAGAATGGCATGACAATTTAAAACTTATGAATTGTTTATGGAATTTTGCATTTTGTATTTTTGGACCACAGTTGATGGCAGATAGCTGAATCTATGGAAAGCAAAACCATGGATAAGGGGGAAGTGTAGTATTGCCTGTGGATTATATCAGTATTTTTGTTGTATTTCTGGTCTAAATATTGTAGAGTATTTTAAAAGAAAAATCCAAGCCTTGTTTGAAGAATAACACACATTTTAGTAGCTGGTAGAGTTAGTAACAAAGTATTTGTGAAATCACTAGAGAATCTTAGTGGTTGTACTCTTACAGTGTTCTGAAAAATGTTAAAGCCACTCTGCGTTGTCCTTGTAGGGACTCTTTTGGGCTGACTAAATTGTCTTCTTGAGATTCTCTCCCAAGGTATAAAAATTATCCCTATTGGTTTCCAAACACCACCACTGATCATGTTTTACTCACTGTGGAATGAGACCAAACCCAGTAAATATGCTTGCTAAGGAAGTTTAGGCTTTGGTATCATTTAGAAAAAAAGTTGCACTTGCGCAAAATCAAAAACTTAGAGACAAAGGCCAATCCATGTAATAACTTTATTATTACACGAAGCTTTATTCTTCTCCAAAGCCCTATTGAAACACTTTGTAGTTTCAGAGTTCATGAGAACTCTGAGTGTGTTGTAGGGGTGGCAGGACTTTGTAGTCCAAGCACAAAACAGGAATTAGTATGGCTAGGGTTGAAACAAGTTGGAGCTCACTATGTGTTAGCCCTTCTTTTGCCTCCTGGTTTTCTTGGCTAGATGCTGAACCTACTCCAGTCTCACATCCATCTTTTCTCTAATATGTATCCATCCCAGAGAGAAAGTTATGGGTATACAAAATAGATTATTTTGGAAAGCTTGCCAAAAAGCCACTCAGCTCAAAGACATTTATTTCATTTGTGGGGGACTGATTATCTCTCCTATTTCTTATCGAACTTAACTTCCTCGTATGCTCTGTGACACATACACAGAAATCCTATAGTATATTTTCATTAACATCATGTTTTCTGAATTCGGCTTAATGTTTTCAATTTAGTTCCAACTTTTACAGGTTCTTCACAGCCTGCCAACTTTCTTTCCTAATACACTTCTCTCTATCTGGAATGCCCATAATTTTTCCAACTCTCTTGAACAACTCACAATATTTTAGTTATCTTTTAAGGTGTAGCTAAAATCAGTTTCTTTATTGAAATCCTCCTTTGCCCTTCCAGCAAGAATAAAATCTCTTTTCTCCTGAACTACTGTTTCAATTTAATTTTTCACGCTATGACATTAATATTGTTCTACCTTGTTATTATTTCAGTACATTTTTTGTTGTGTCTCCTAATTACAAACATGGATCTGAATGTCAGGAACCAGCCTGATTCATCATTATATTCTTATTGCACTCAACACAGGATTTTGTACACTTTCTAAGTGTTCAAAAATATTGGTTGAATTTCTACATTCTCAATTTCATTGAGTACCTCTCAACTCTACTTAATTCACCATTCTCTACTCTGCAAACTCTGCTGCCTACTCTTACACCTTTGACCTAAGTGAGATCTAGACTGCTATGTCTCCTAGTGGGGCTTCCTCTAACCACAAAGAACTTGAATTAAAACAAATACCTAGCACAAGATGCAAGGGCTCTTTGCTATAGCAGCACATTGATTTGCTATAGCATCACATTGATACTGAGACCTGAAGATGTTCAAGTGGTTTGGCCAAGGCTGAGAATAGACATAGGTATCCAGACAAAATCCACCCATGGCACTTTCTCCCCCAACATTTCTGTCAGTGTTGAATCAGATTATCTGCTTGGAATTCTTTTCTATTTTATTTTCATTTAAATTTTAAAAAAGAAGCTATGGTGTATAAAAGAAAGCCCTTAAGGCCAGAAATAGTTAAGCTATCTACACAAAACTAGTAATTTTATCAAGTAACATGAAAACTGTGACATTTTTGACTTAATATTTTAAATGTTTTCAGAAAAACTGAGGAAACAGACTAACGTGGGGCCACATGATCAAGAGATAATAGAACACTGTTTTGTAAAACACAATCGGAGCATGGGTTGTTGGATTCCAACCCTATAGTTGATAACGCACCACACCTGTTGCATTATTATTTGTCTAGTGAAAATAGAATGATTCACTGTAACTGCTTTATAAAGATCTTATAAATAATTATTTACTTTCAGCTCACTGAGAGCAAAATTATATGAAAATATGTGATGGTCTGTCAAAGGTTTAAGTGATATGAGAAGGGATCTGCAGAGATTATGTATCTTTGGGATGCATTTTCTTTTGTAGAAACAAGAAAAACTTATAAAATATATTTATCACTTTTCCATACTCCTATCACTTGTAATTAATTTTTTATCATAAAGAAAGAACTAGATGAAAATCATTGAATATAATTTAAAAGGACTCCAAAAAAAGAGACCAAAGAGGAGAAATATAATTACTTTTCTTGAAAAGAAATTTACCATTTATATTCTAGTACAAGCCAGGGGAAGGTGCCTAAATTTTATGTTCTGGAGGGAAAAAGTGTGCCTTCCATTTTTTCACTAACTTAACAGGAACACAAGAACATTAATGTGTTTATATTTGTAAAACACTTGGAATTTTCATTTTTTTTAAATTGTATTATTATTATACTTAAAGTTTTAGGGTACATGTGCACAACGTGCAGGTTTGTTACATATGTATACATGTGCCATGTTGGTGTGCTGCACCCATTAACTCGTCATTTAGCATTAGGTGTATCTCCTAATGCTATCCCTCCCCACTCCCCCCACCCCACAACAGGCCCCAGTGTGTGATGTTCCCTTTCCTGTGTCCATGTGTTCTCATTTTAAACATGCTGAAAGTGGAAAGTACAATTATCTTGTTAGGAACTATTTGAAATATTTCTGTTTAACACAACAGATAAAACAAGCAAATCGATCTGAGAGTAAGTATATGTAATGTTTCAAAATGCATATGTTTTCTGTGTGGTTTCTAAGCAGCACTCCACTTACCTTGATTTAGTGGTGAGTATTGCTGTTGCTACTGTTTTTGCTAGTTCAGTCACTCAGATGATGTAAGACTGCCATCAGAAAATTAAAATTTCTCTCACCTATCAAATACAAGATACTGTAGTTCATTTTACATTAATCATAGAAGTTGTGAACAAATTTTTTGAGGAGGATTTGTGTAACAACTTACATATTCTTTACTGTTAAAGTAAGACAAGCATATATTTTTTCAATGTCAAATCTTAAGGATAAGTGTAATTTATTGATTTTTATCTGTCTTAATTCTCTTATGCATTTACTTTGTATCAATATATCCATGTAAGTAGAGTTTATGCGTTTCTACTTATCACAATATAAGATATAAACTTAGATAACACATTCATTTTATTAATGCATGATATACATAAGAGCCTTTTCTAGTTTATTCTTCTCTATTGTTCTCTCTCCTTCTTTGTCTCTGTCACATCTTCTCACACATACACGCACATGCATACATATAACTTCAATTTCTATTCCACTAGTGTAATGGAAATGCACTTCTAGAGAGAATCTCTAGAGAGCATGATTGGATAACCTCAATTCAATAGGGTCACTGAAAAAAATAGTAGTTTGTAACTAAACAGTCTTAATTGTTTTCAGAAATATTTCAAAAATATAGCAAGTGAGTTAAGACAATGGTTTTAGATCAACTTCTTAGATTTCAGTTCATTGTAGTGAAATTGATCTTTAAAATGGTATAAATATTATTAACAATTGCTTCTCTGGTTATATGAATAGATACACCTATAGAGAAACAATGGGTTTGAACTATTATGAGAGTGTGGGTATCTATTATGAAAGGGTTTTCAGGCAATAATGAAAATATCTAAACCTTTAAATAAGGACAATGAAAGGGTTTTCTATGCTACATATTAAAATAACGGCTTTAACACACTTGACATAAGCTCTTTCTATTCTTTAAAGGACATTATGCAAAACTAATAATATTATTGTTGTGTCAAATGTCTTATTGGTAAAAAAAAACACTGAGATTATTGTATTTTAACACTGTGTTCTGCAAAACTGTTTTCTTACTAATTGTTCTACAACTTCGGATAGTCCCTCCTATTATTACCACATAAAGGAAAATTTAGTAATTTGTGAGAAGAAAATATAAAAAGGAATAGTTCTGTCATTGCTTAAAACAGTGTTTTTTCTAAAAAAAAATGTGTTTAGTTTCATGGTCTCAACAGGGAAGCATGTTTTGCATGCAAATAACGTGTGGTTATGGAGAGTTACTATGACGGATAATGTCTTATGTTGCCTCGACATCTGTGGACTAATAGAGTGACTCTTCAATAAGTGAGTGTATTAGGCCATTCTTGTATTTCTACAAAGAAATAACTGAGACTGGGTAATTCATAAAGAAAAAGGGCTTAATTGACTCAAGGTTCTGCAGGCTGTACAGGAAGCATGGCACCACACATCTGCTTGGCTTCTGATGAGGCCTCAGGAAGTTTACATTCATGGCAGAAGGTGAAGGGGGAGCAGGCACATCACATGGTCAGAGCAGGAGTGAGACAGAGAGAGAGGGAGAAAGAGAGTAGGGTGGTGTCACACACTTTTAAACAACCAGCTCTCTGAAGAACTCACTCACTGTCCTGAAGTCAGCGCCAAGACTTGAGCGATCCACCCACCTCCCACCAGACCCCATCGCCAGCACCAGGGATTACAATTCAACATGACATTTGGGCAGGAACAAATATCCAAACTATATCAGTAAGGTTGTTGATAAAATGTAACCAATCTGAGTTTTTCATTTAAGTTTCAAGCTGACTTTGGGGACTCTGTGGAGGGTTAGAAAGAAAGAATAATTAAAAATAAAAGAAAGAATAATTAAAAATAAAGTACACTCTAGTTCTGGTGGCAATTAACAAAAATGATTTTGAAAAGGCAATTAAGACAACACTAATTTTAAGACACAGTAGTTCTCTGTTTCACTGGAAGTTGTAATGTTAAAAAAAAGAAAAAGCTGACATGCCTAAAAATGGGGAATCTGCCAATGACCGTAAAATTAAAATAAAAACACACTACAAAGGTATGTTTTAAGTAATGACATTTACATTATACTTATTGTTAATGTAATGCTTCACAATGATAAAAAAAATCTGTACCCTTCTGTTAACTTCACTTAGAGACATATTTTATTGGTTAGAGGACAAAAAATGACATGGATTGAAAATTAAAGATAAACTGAGTTCTTGATCTTTACATTGTAGATGCTTCCCACATATTTATTAAATGAGTGAATAAGGAATATTCAGGTGTTTTCCATTCAACGCCTCTAAAAATATTTCATTTTTTAATTTTCATGTGGTTAATCCAGTGATATAAGCTTAGTGATCAATGTTCATGCTTTTGGAAAGCAGTATTTGAGAGTAAAATGTACATGAACCAAAGAATTGGATCTCTTTCTTTTTTCCTGACTTTCTTTATTTTTATTTATTTATTTAATTTATTTATTTTTTGAGATGGAATCTCACTCTGTTGCCAGGCTGGAGTGCAGTGGCGTGATCTTGGCTCACTGCAAACTCCTCCTCCCGGGTTCAAGTGATTCTCCTGCCTCAGCCTCCCAAGTAGCTGGAACTACAGGCATGAACCACCATGCCCAGCTAGTTTTTGTATTTTTATTAGAGATGGGGTTTCACCATGTTGGCCAGGATGGTGTCAATCTCTTGACCTCGTGATCCGCCCTCCTTGGCCTCCCAAAGTGCTGGGATTACAGGCATGAGCCACCACGCCCAACCTTTTTTCCTGACTTTCTTAGTTACTAAATTATCATTCTTATTTCTATTCCTACTTCCTCCCCTTTTCACTGAATTTTTAAAAAGTTTACCTTTCCCTACGCTACTGAATTCATTTGTACTGTACTATACAACCTCTCACACTGCATTTTATTTTTTTCTTGTTATCTTATTTTCTTTTCACCAAATTGTTGCCTCAGGCAGGATCTGTGACATTTTCACCTGCATCTTGGTTACTTGGTACATAGATGCATGAAGTGACCGATGATATATATATATATATATTTTTTTAACAAAGCAAGTGAAAAGTGTGAAGATACTCCTTAAAGTTAAGAAATAAAACACTATCATTCATTAAGGTTAATATACATGTTTGAATAAAGTATGAGGTTGAGTAGACTAGTGATTGTTAACATTCTTACATGTGCTAGGATATTCTATATATTAATTCATTTAATCTTCACACACATAAACACACATTCATATTTTATGCAATAAGTGCTTTTATCCTCATTTTATAAATGTGGAAATCAAGGATTAAAGTATTCAAAGAACTTGTCCAGCTATCTAGCTAGCGAGTAATAGATCTGAGACTGGAAACCCTGTTTGCCAGGAGACTTCAAAGCCTCAGGCTGTTTTTTTATAGTGCAATGCTCAGTTTGCTAAAGGAGTATTCCTCAAATGTGCCTGATTTTTAAAATCACTGGTAACATTTATTGAAAACATTGATTTTTTTTTTTAGCCAAACCCTAGACCAGCAGAATCAAAATCTTTAGGGAATAAATTGGGTGGGAATTTTTATTATTAACAAGATCCCCAGGGGAAGCTTAAGTTTAGGCAAGTTGGTTTATTTTACAGTGTGTTAGGCCATATTTCATTTGCTCTCCTGAGGTTACAGATACCTTGACTACCTATTTTCTCTACCTTACCAATAATCTGTTTACTTAAACTATTAGTCTTGATTCTTAATACTTGAGGATGAAGACGAATACTAAGGAATAAGCTACAGCTGTATGTGGAAAAATAATGCATTTGAAAATCAACAAATTTCATGGCAAATAATAGATCTGACTACATTTAACATAATGGGAGAAAAACATGATTTTTCAATACCACACAACCAATCAATAACCAAGCCTCAGTAAGAGTAGTTTGATACAACAGTAACAGTTAAAACCATAATTTATTCTGAAGTTTTTTATCCTTTATAATGGTTGCAAATGAAGCAAGATTTTTCAGTCTCTATAGTTGAAGTTAATAATTTATTGAATGTTTTCCTCTTTCTTCTTTCTATAGTTAGGACACAGAATAAATCCTTTAGTGTCTTAGTCAACAAGTTCTTTCTGTATGATTATACCTTGTATGATCTCTTAAGAACTTCAGTTAAAACCCTTCTATATTCTTTTCTCATATGATATTCTAGCAAAAACTTATTATTTGTGATAGGAAACACTAGGTCTTATTCATTTTTCTAACTATATTTTGGAGCCATTAATAATACTCACTTGCCCCTTCACCCCCACTAACTTCCCAGGCTCTGGTAATCATCCATCTACTGTCTACTTCCGTGAGTTAAATTATTTAATTTTCAGCTCCCACAAATAAGTGAGAAAGCATGAATTTGTCTTTCTGTCCCTTGTTTATTTTACTTAACATAATAACCTCCAGTTACACCCACGTTGTTGCAACTGACAGAATCTCATGTTTCATGGCTAAATAGTACTACATTTTGCGTAAGTACTACATTTTCTTTATGCAGTCATCTGTTGATGGACACTTAAATTGCTTCCAGATCTTAGTTACTGTGATGATTGCTGAAATAAACATGGCAGTATAGATATCTCTTGGATATACTGATTTTCTTACTTTTGGGTACATACCCAGCAGTAGGATTGGTAGATCATATGGTAGTTCTATTTTTAGAATTTTGAGGAACCTCCAACCTGTTCTCCATAGTGGTTGTATTAATTTACCTTCCCATCAACAGTCTTCATGGGTTCCCTTTTCTCCACATCCTGGCCAGCATTTGTTATTGCCTGTCTTTTGGATATAAGCCATTTTAACTGAGGTGAGATAATACGTCATTGTAGTTTTGATTTGCATTTCTCCGATGATCAGTGATGTGGAGTACCTTGTCATATGCCTGTTTGCCATTTGTGTGTCTTCTTTTAAGAAATGTCTATTCATATCTTTTTGCCTATTTTTTAAATAGGATTATTAGATTTTTTACTATATATTTGTTTTAGCTCCTTTCATGTACTGGTTATAAATCCCTTGTCAGATGGGTAGTTTGTAAATATTTCTACCCCTCTTCACTTTGTTGATTGTTTCCTTTGCTATGCAGAAGGTTTTTACTTGATGTGATCCCATTTTTATTTTATTTTATTTTATTATTATTATACTTTAAGTTTTAGGGTACATGTGCATTTTTATCCATTTCTGCTTTGGGTGCCTGTGCTTCTGCTGTATTACTCAAGAAATTGTTAACAAGATAAATGTCCTGGAGATATTTCCCAATGTTTTCTTCTACTAGTAACGTAGTGTGAGGTCTTAGAGTTAAGTCTTTGATCCATTTTGGTTTGATTTTTGTATATACGCATCTAGTTTCATTCTTTTGCATATGGATATCTAGTTTTCATAGCACCATTTATTGAAGATATCATCCTTTTCTCATCTTGGAAAACTTGTCAAAATTGAGTTCACTGTAGATGTATGAATTATCTCTGGGTTCTCTATTCTGTTCTACTGAAGTATACGTCTGTTTTTATGCCAGGACCATGTCGTTTTGGTTACTTTAGTTCTGTAGTATAATTTGAACTCAGGTAATGTGACTCCTCTTGTTTTGTTCTTTTTGCTTAGGATATTCTGGGTGTTTTATGGTTTTCATATTTCCATGTGGAAACATGGAATATCTTTCCATATTTTGTGTCCTCTTCAATCTCTTGCATCAATGTTTTATAGTTTTTTTGTAGAGATCTTCCACTTTTTTGTTTAATTCCTAGGTATTTTATTTGCAGCTATTGTAATGGAATTACTTTCTTGATTTTTTTTTCAGATTGCTTACTGTCAACATATAGAAATGCTACTGATTTCTGTATGTTGATTTTGTATCCTGTAACTTTACTGAATTTGTTTATAAGCTCTAATATTTTTTGGTGGACTTTTTAGGTTTTGTTCAAGCCTAATATTATATTGTCTGCATGTAAAGATAATTTAACTTCTTCCTTTCCAAATTAAATGTCTTTTATTTCTTTCTTTTGTCTGATTGCTGTAGATAGGACTTCCAGTGCTATGTTGAATAAGAGTGGTGAAAATGGGCAACCTTGTAATGATCCAGATCTCAGAGGAAAAGCTTCCTTTTTTCCAATTTAGTATGATACTAGCTAAGGGTTTTTAACATATAGCTTTTACTAGATGGAGGTATGTTCCTTCTAAACCAAAGTTTCTGCGGGATATTATGCTAAAGGAATGTTAATTTTAGCACATGCTTTTTCAGCATCAACTGAAATGGTCATATGTTTTTTGCCTTTCTTTTTGTTGATTGGATGTATCACATTGATTGATTTGTGTATGTTGAGTCATCCTTGCATCCCAAGGATTAATCCCATTTGGTCATGATGAATGATCTTTCTAATGTATAGTTGAATTTGGTTTGCTAGTATTTTGTTGAGAGTATATGCATCAATATTCATCAGAAATAATGGCCTGCATTTTCCGGTGTTTTTTTCCTCCTATGTTTCTTTATCCAGTTTTGGTATCAAGGTATAACTGGCCTTGTAGAATGAGTTTGGAGGTATTTCTTCCTCGTCAATTTTTTGAATTGTTTGAGTATAATTGGTGTTAGTTCTTTTTTAAGTGTGTGGTAGAAATTAGCAGTGAAGTCATTGAATCCTGGCCTTTTATCTGCTGGGAAACTTTTTATTATGGCTTCTATCTTGTTCCTTCTTATTGATTTGTTCAGGTTTGTGATTTCTTCATGATTCAATCTTGCTAGCTTATATGTGTCAAATAACTTAGCCATTTCTTCTAGATTTTCCAATTTATTGTCATATAATTGCTCACAGTAGCCACTAATAATCTTTTGGATTTCTCCAGTATCAGTTGTAATATCTCCTGTCTCTGATTTTTTAAATTTGGGTTTTCTATATATTTTCTTATTCTGTCTAAAGTTTAGTTAATTTTGATTATCTTCAAAAACCAACATTTTGTTTTGTTGATCTTTTATATTGTTTTCATTTTAATTTCATTTATTTCTGCTCTGATCTTTATTTCTCTCATTTTCTTCTACTAATTTTGGGTTTGTTTTTCTTTTCTTCTCTAGTTCTTTAAGATGCACTGTTAGCTTGTTCATTGACCTGCTGGTTATTCAGGAACATATTGTCTAATTTTCACATTTGTATAGTTTCCAAAACTTCTCTTGTTATTGACTTCTAGTTTTATTTTTTATTCCATTGTAGTCAGAAAAGATGCTTGATATCATTTCAAAGTTTTTGAGTGTTTTAAGACTTGTTTATAAACCTGATTTATGGTATATCCTTGAGAATTATCCATGCACTGAAGGAAAAAATGCATATTCTGCAGCCATTGGATAAAGTGTTCTACAACTATCTATTAAGTCCATTTGGTGTATAGTGCAGATTAATTCTTTACTCTTCCCTCTCCTCTCCTCAAGCAGAAGATAAAGGTCTCTTTTGGAGCTGTGAGCTTTGAAGCCTAGGGTTGTGATAGAGGTGGTGCAAACACTCCATTTGCCACTCTGGCTGGTGTCTTAGTAGACCATGTGTCCTCCAAGTGCACTGGCTCTGAACCTAGTTCAGCGCTAGGACTCACCTAGGAGTTGCCATCCTTGTGCCCTAGATTGCCTTTCAAGTTTACTTTAGGACCCAGTGCACTTTATGCCACAGTGGCAAGGCTTGCTGAAACTCAAGTTCCAAGCACTGAGATTAGTATTTCCTTATCAGGCCCCACCTACATCCTACTGATTGGTCCATTTTACTGAGAGCTGATTGGTCTGTTTTACAGAGAGCTGATTGGTCCATTTTGACATAGTGCTGATTGGTGCATTTACAATCCCTGAGCTAGAAACAGAGTGCTGATTGGTGTATTTGCAATCCTCTAGCTAGACATAAAAGCTCTCCAAGTCCCCACTGGACTCAGGAGCCCAGCTGGCATCGCCTAGTGGGTACTGTGCCAGGGCCGCAGGTGGAGCTGTCAGCCAGTCCCATGCCACGTGCCCGCAGTTCTCAGCCCTTGGGAGGTTGATGGGACCAGACACCACAGATCGGGGGCAGCACCCGTTGGGGTGGATCAGTCTGCATGTGAGCCCATGGTTGGGCAGGGGAGGGCTTGGGCATGGTGGGCTTCAGGTCCTGAGCCCTGCCCTGCAGGGAGGTGGTTGAGGCCCGGTGAGAATTCGAGTGTGGCACAGGCGGGCCGGCAGTGTTGAGGGACCCAGAGCACCCTTCACAGCTGCGGGCCCGGGTGCTAAGCCCCTCACTGCCCAGGGCTGGCGGTGCCAGCTGGCCACACTGAGTGCGGGGCCCACCAAGCCTGCACCCACCCGGAACTCGTGCTGACCCGCGAGTGCCATGCATAGCCCTGGTTCCTGACTGCCCCTCTCCCTCCATACCTCCTCACAAGCAGAGGGAGCCTGTTCTGGCCTCAGCCAGCCCAGAGAGGGGCTCCCACACAGTGCAGTGGTGGGCTGAAGGGCTCCTCAAGCATGGCCAGAGAAAATGCCAAGGCCGAGGAGGCGCCCAGAGCGAGCGAGGGCTGCTAGCACGTTGTCACCTCTCACTACTATATGGGCAAATGAACCAGTACTAATTCCAGAAAAACAGTGATTCTTCATTAATTCAGCTTTCTAAGAAATTTTACTATTGAAATGCAAAAGGCTGGCAAGCCTTATTATTTAGAAACTATAAGGTACAAAATTATTAAGTATAAATACAGGTCATAGAAATAAAATTAAATCCTTATCACTTAAAAATATTTCTAGAAATTATCTTCCCTAAGATTATGTTGAGTATTTCTGTGAAATTTGTAATGTTCATAACTGTAAAAGAAAAGAGGAATTAGTCATATAATGCCTGTTTAAAAAAAAAGTCTAGTGTAAAAATACAAAGACTAATATAGGTTATAAGATGCTTACTTACACAGTAAATCTAAAAGCAGTAAAAAGCTATTTATAGGACTAATTCATCTTTTACTCCATAAATATAAATTTCATAGGCAAACAGTTTTATTATCTTGATATCAATTTCTGTATTTTTTAAATATCCTCTTCAGAAATAAATTTTACTGTGTATAATTAAGATATCAACATGATGTTATGCAATATGTATAATATAGATAATAAAGAGTTTAAAAATATACTTATCTACCAGGAATCTCAAATATAATACTATTGTGAGCCATAGTTCTCATGTTGTACATAAAATCTCTAGACTTGTCCATCCTATGTATCTGTTACTTTGAAATTTCTGTATTTTAATAATGCCTACTGATATTAGAGTAAGAAAGAGATGCCTTATGGCATTCCAATTTTAAATTGTGTGAAGTAAATCTTTTTTTGTTGCCTTCTTTTTAAATTTATACCTAAATAACTTGATGAGTCTCTCGAATGAATTAGATGTGTGATCTATAGAAAACAAAAAGGAGAAAGTTTATTTGATTTTATTTATGAGAAATTTTAGAAAAGCTTATTGGTAGAGCAGTGATTTAGATTGTAACATCCGTTTTTAGGGATGAAGAGGGGGAGAGCTTATTCCTCTCTTCAATTTACATTTTCATAAATCTTAGAAGATTTCCTCTCTGTCTTCCTAGGATCAAGTGTCAGTTATTAGAGATAAATCTTTTCTCAACTTTTACTGTGTCAGTAAAGCAAAGAGCTCTTTGAACAATTTTATTGTACCTTTTACAAAGTCAGAATTGAAGGCAATCAATAATGTTTTCCAATATCTTTTTAAGGTGGTTTCACATGGCAAATGTCTCTGAATTGATACAATAAAAGTACATTTTTCTTTACTCTAAAACAAACCCAAACTATGTAAACTACACATTTTCTTGTCACATTAACTTCTAATAGTATCATAGCCAAAATCATTTTTATTTATGGAACTAACCTTACCCATGTGCTTTCTAACAAAACATCAGGGCACCTAACTATATGAAAAAAACATAACCAGAATTAAAGAGAGAAATTGAGAGTTCTATAATAACATAGATTACTTCAAAATCTTAATTTTAAAAATAAATAAACAGCCACGTAGTAAGATCAATAAAGGAAGTACAATATTGGACAACACTACAGACCAATTAAACTTAACAGACATACGTAGAACACTCTGGCCAAGAATAGCAGAATACACATTTTTGTCAGGTAAACATAGAACACTATCCTGCGTAGACCATATGTCAAGCCACAAAACAAGTTTTAAATAATTTTTAAGATTAAAATCCTGCAAAATATATTTTCTAGTCACAATGGAATGAAACTAGAAATTAATAGCAGGAGAAAAACTAAAATATCTACAATTGTTTGGAAATATCTTGAAATAAATGAAAATGAAAACACAGCAAACCAAAATGCATGGGATACAGGAAAAATAGTAAAAGAAAAATTTATAGCTGTAAATGCTTGCAGCTTAAGAAAAGAGAGACCACAAATCAACAACATCAAACTAACAGTCTAAATTTACACCTTATGTGACTGGTAATAGCAGAGCAAACCAAACCCAAACTAGCAGAAGAAAAGAAAGATTACAGCAGGGATAAATAAAACAATGTATAGTAAAACAATAGATAAATAAAATCATGAGTAGATTATTTGAAAATAACAAAATTGACAAACTTTTAGCTAAATTTAATTAGAAAGGAAGAGAGAAGACTCAAATAACTAATATGAGAAAGAAAAGGGAAAATTACAACCAATTTTTCAGGAACATGAGGGATTACGAGAGAATACTATGAACAATTGAACGACAACAAATTTGATAACCTGGATGAAATAAAAACATTTCTATATCACACAACCTACAGGACAGCATAATGAAACAAAAATAGAAAATCTGGACAATCCTATTACTGGTAAGAAGATTGAATCAATAATTAAAACTGCCCAACCAAGAAAAGCCTAGGACCTGATAGCTTCATTGGTGAATTCTACCAAACATGTGTAGAAGTATTAAGACAATTCTTTTAAAATTATTTCAAAAAATTGAATACAGAAGACTTTCAAATTCATTCTATGAGGCCAACAGTACTCTGACACTAAAGCCAGACAAAGATACCACAAGAAAAAAAAAAAACAAACCTACAAGCTAAGGTCTTTGATTAACATAGATGCAAACATTTTCAATAAGACACTAGCAGAGAGAATTCAACAGCACATTAAAATGGCTGCACACCATGATCTAATGAGATTTATTCTTGGGATGCATACATGGTTCAACATATAAAAATGAATCAATGTAATATGTCACATTAACACACTGAGATTTTTAAATCACATAGTTTTGTCAATATATGTGGAAAAATTACTTGACAAAATTCAATATTTTTTATGATAAACACAACCAACAAAGTAGGAATGGAAAAATAAACTACCTCTACATAATAAAGGCCATATATGAAAAGCCAACAGTTAAAAATATACTCAATGGTAAAGTACTGAAGATTATGCTCAATGATTAGTTACAAGAAAAAAATGCCTGCTTTCACCACCTCTATTCAATGCAGTACTGGAAGATCTAACAATTATGCAAGAAAAAAAAAAGTCATTCAAATTAGACAGAAAGAAGTAAAAATATCTCGGTTTATCGATCTTTTATGTAGATAACACAGAAGAGCTGGACACAGTGGTTCACGCCTGTAATCCCAGCACTTTGGGAGGCCAAGGTGGGTGGATCACTTGAGGTCAGGAGTTCAAAACCAGCCTGGCTAACATGGCAAAACCCTGTCTCTACTAAAAATACAAAAATTAGACGGGCGTCATGGTGGTGTTCACCTGTAATCTCAACTATTCAGGTGGCTGAGGCAGGAGAATTGCTTGAACACGGGAGGCAGAAGTTGCAGGGAGCTGAGATCGCAACACTGCACTCCAGCCTGGGCAAGAGAGTAAGACTCTGTCTCAAAAAAAAAAAAAAAAAAAAAGGAAAAGAAAAGAAAAAGAAAAAGAAAGAAAGACAACACAGAAGATTCCATAAAAAAAAAAACCGCTAAAATGTATTCAAAAGATTTCAGGATGCAAAATAAACACACAAAACATTAATTGCTTTTTTTTTTTTTGAGACGAAGTCTCGCTCTTGTCCCACAGGCTGGAGTGTGATGGCAAGATCTCTGCTCACTGCCTCCTCTGCCTCCCGGGTTCAAGCGATTCTCCTGCCTCAGCCTCCCGAGTAGCTGGGATTATAGGAGCCTGCCACCACGCCCAGCTAATTTTTGTATTTTTAGTAGAGATGGAGTTTCACCATGTTGGCCAGGCTGGTCTCGAACTCCTGACCTCAGATGATCCACCCGCCTCAGCCTCCCAAAGTGCTGGGATTACAGGCGTGAGCCACCGTGCCAAGCCTAATTGCATTTCTATATGCTAACAATTAATAATCAAAAAAGGAAACTGAGAAAACAATTCTACAATCAATAGCATCAAAATAAATACTTGTAAATAAATCCAACTGAGGAGTTTAAAGACTTGTACATTAAAAATTATAAAACATGGCTGTAATAAATTAAAAGAGACACAAATAAATATATATCCTATGTTCATGGATTGGAACATTTAATTTTGTTCAAATGTTATCATGGACTGAATGTATGCATGCAAAATTTATATGTGGAAATATTAACCCCCTAAGTGATGGTACTAGAAGTTGGGGCCTTTGGTAGGTGATTAGGTCATGAGAATGGAGCCCTGATAAAAGGTATTAATATTTTTGCAAGAGACCCCAGAGAGCTCCCTTGTTCCTTTCACCATGTAAGGACACAGCTGGAAGACCATTATCTAAACCAAGAAGAAGGCTCTCATTAGACACTGAATCTGCTGGCATCTTGATCTTGAACTTTTTAGTGCCCAGAACTGTGAGAAATAAAATTTTGCTGTTTATTCAGCCAAGTGTAATGTATTTTCATTCTAGAAAACAAAGCTGAGTAAGACAGATGTCAATACTACCCAAAGCAACCTACAGATAAAATGTAATCCCTATCAAAAACCAATAGTATTATTTGCAAATGTGGAAAAATACATTCTAAAATTAATATGTATTCTCAAGGGACCCTGAATAGCCAAAAGAATATTCAAAAAAAACTGTTGGGGAGTCTTACATATTCTGATTTTAAAAACAATTATAAGACTACACTAATTATAACAGTTTATGGTACTTGTGTAAAGACAGACATATAGACAAATACAGAGCCCAGAAATAACCTTCACATATATGGTAAAATAATTTTTGACAAGCATGTCAAGACTGTTTGTTGGGAAAAGTATATTCTTGTCATCAAAAGGTGCTGTGAAAATAGGATATACACATTCAAAGCAATAAAGTTGTACCCTTACCTTATACCTATACAAAAATTAAGGTTTAAGGCACTAAACATAAGAGCTAAAACTGTAAAACTCTTACAGAAAAACATAAGGGCAAGTCTTCATGACATTGGACTTGGTGATAATCTCTTGGATATGATACTAAAATTATATGCAACAAAAGCAAAAATAAACAAATGAGACTACGTCAAAATCGAGGTCTACACAGCAAAGGACACAATCAACAGAGTGAAAAAATCAACCCACAAATATGAGAAAATATTTGAAGATTATATATCTGATAAGGTGTTAATATCCAGGATATATGAGTTGCCACACTCAATAGTAAGTACGTGAAATGGTTTCTAATCATTAGAGAAATGCAAATTAAAACCACAATGTAATGTCACTTCACACCCCTTAGGATTTTTACTCTAAAAAAATTACAATTGTTGGAAATTATGTGGAGACATTGGAGCCTTTGTGCACTCTTGGTAATAACGTAAAATTGTACATCTGCTATGGAAAACAGTATGGTGGTGCTTCAAAAAATTAAAAATAAAATTACCATATAATACTGCAATTTCACTTCCAAATAAATACCCATAACAATTGAAAGCAGGTTCTCAAAGGGACATTTGTACACCCATGTTTATAGCAGCATCATTCACAATAACCAAAATGTGGAAGCAACCCAAGTGTTTGACAGATGAATGGATAAACAAATTATGGTATTCTCTTAGTCTGTCTGGGTGCTATAACAATATATTTTAGTGTGGGTAATTTATAAGCCATAGAAATGTATTACTCACAGTTCTGGAGGTTGGGAAGTTTAAGATCAAGGCAGATTTGGTATCTGGTGAGAGCATAATCTCTGCTTCATAGATGGTGCATTCTTACTACATCTTCACATGGAAGAAGGAGCAAACAATCTCCATCAGTACTTTTTAATAAAGGTACTAATCACATTTATAAGAACAGAGCCCTGCTGACCTAATCACCCACCAAAGGTCTTACCTATTAATACTATAACACTGGGAATTATGTTCCAATGTATAAATTTGGGAGGAACACAAACATTCAGACCATAGCATTCTGGCTCTGGCCCCACAAAATTTGTGCCCTACTCACATGCAAATTACATTCATTGTTATCCCCCAAATTACAAAAGTTTTAGCTCATTCTAGCATCAACTCAAAATTCCAAAGTTCATAGTCTTGCCTAAATCCATCTAAATTGGATAGGGTTGAGACCCAAGATACAATTACCCTCCAGACATCCTGAGGCAAAGCCCCATCCACCTGTGAGCCTGTGAACTCAAACAGGTTATGTGCTTCCAAAATTTCATACGGAAAAGGCACAGGATAGACATTCTCATTCCAAAAGGGAGAAATAGAAAATAAGTAAGGGGGCAACAGGACTTAAGTCCAAAATCACAAAGTAAAACAATATTAAATATTAATTATTGAGAATTATCTTTTTTACTTTATGTCCTTCCTTCTGGACACACTGGGGTAGGGATTGGGCCCCAAAGGCTGTCATAGCAGCTCCCCATGGCAGTACTCATGGGTTGGAGTTGTGTACCTGTAGCTCTTCTAGGCTGGGGTTGCATGTTATTGTCACTACTAGTCTGAGATCTCACAGGCAGCCTCAGCTCCACTAGGCATTTCTATAGCAGGAGGTTCTCTGGTAGCCCCACCCCCATGACTGTACTTGGAATTGCCTTATTGGGGCTTCTGTATAGTGGCACCACCCCTGTGACAGTTCTCTGCTTGGGCCACAAGACTCTCTGGGGCATCTTTTGAAATCTAGGTGGAGGCAACCATGACCTTACAGCTCTTGCAACTCTACATTCTGGTGGAGATAACATTGGATGGATGTCACCAAAGTTAACCATTTTACCCTCGAGAGGAGGGGCTACTATGGCTTATACCACACCAAAGCCCACTGGAGTCATACCTGGGGTAGAGTGCTGAGCCAGCATGTGGAGAGAAGAGACTTGATGCAGTATTGAACAACTAGTGCTGAGGTCCTACTGAAGCTCCTCTTTTGACATAGTTCTGTCCGTCGGCCTTGGCACTCTGAAACTGTGATGGAA
Source organism: Homo sapiens (assembly GCF_000001405.40). Lineage (NCBI taxonomy): Eukaryota > Metazoa > Chordata > Mammalia > Primates > Hominidae > Homo > Homo sapiens. The sequence continues at coordinate 90,625,139 of NC_000023.11, forward strand.
ATGGCAATCAGTGATCTTGAAAATGCCTTCAAGGCCATTCTTCCATTGCCTTGTTGAATAACACCCAGCTTCAACTCATCCATATTAGTCACCTTATAAAATGGGAACTTGGTTATAGCCTTGGGGGGTCTCTCCAAAACATGATTTGTCATTTTTTACAACATGGAGAGGGTGAAAATTTTCCAAATATTTTAAGCTATGCTTTCTTATTGATTACAAATCCCATCCAATCATTCCTCTCTTTACACATTTTACTATAAGCAATCAAGAGAAGCCACACCCAGCTAACAGACATATGAGAAATTGCTTGATATCATTAGTCATTAGGAAAAGAAAATTAAAACCATAATGAGGTATTACTTCATACCTGTTAGAATGGCTATTATAAAAAAAAAGTAAAAGATAACCAGTGTTGGTGAGTATCAGAGGAAAGATAACTCTGTACACTGCTTTTAGGAATGCAAATTATACAGCCTTTATGAAAAACAGTACAGATGTTCTTCAAAAAAACAAAAAAATAGTATTACCATATGATCCAGCAATCACACTACTGGATATATAGCCAAAAGAATTGAAATTAACATGTTGAAGAAACATCTACACTCCCATGTTTATTGCAACATTATTCACAATATCCAAAATATAAAATCAACCCAAGTTGCTATCAGTAAACTAATAGATAAAAAAAAGTGCGATGTATATACAGGGTGGAATATTATTAGCCATTAAAAAGAAAATTCTTTCATTTGCAACAATGCGGGTGGACACAGAGGATATTATCCTAAGTGAAAGAAGCCATGCACATAAAGACAAATACCAATTAATCTCCTATGTGGAATCTAGGTACCTACAAACGTTCTGCAGGAGATTCAACAGTGGGCTTTACAAAAAAATAATGTCAAGAACAAAAGCACCAACTGTCTTTCAGGGAGCTGCTACCTCTGACACACTCATGTGTGTCATGAAAGTGGGGGAGTCAAGAAGCTCTTTATAGAATGGTTAACTTCATTATAATACTCATTCAGCACTAATGCAGGAAGTGAACAGCTATCACTACCCACCATAACTGTCTGTCAACACTCATGAGCTGCTGAGTAGAAACTGGATGGCAGAACACACACACACACACACACACACACACACACACACACACACACACGGAGAGAGAGAGAGAGAGAGAGATTTAACACTTCAAGAATTTGATTGCCAGCAGCAATCACCAAAGCAGTATATAAATGTCCCCTGATTCATTTTCCTCTTCTAAATTTTTCAGGCAACACGTAACAGTCAGTATCAAATTTACTTATATAACTTTAGTGTAAAAGGGGTCTTGATATAGAGTCATTAGTTGTCTAGCCTCAGCATACTAGAAGGAAACTTAAATGGGCATTTAGACCAAATTATACATGTCAATAATAATATACTAAAAAAAGTATGTTTTTATGGCTATTCTTTATACCAAGTTAAGTGCATATGTTATATTCTCATAGCCAGGCCATAAAAGCAACCTGATCAATTATCTTAGATTTTATTTAAGAAAAATATTGTTTTACAGACTTAGACTTACATGAAGTCTTAGGTGTCAATTAGTATAAATTATCTATTAGTCAATAACAAAGTACCCCAAAACTTAGTATTTTAATGCAATAATCACTTATTATTTCTCAAGGTTTCACATGTTGACTGAGTGGTTCTTCTAGAGTTGCCTGGCCTCATTCTCATGGATACAGTCAGATGGCAGATTATCTAGTGCCAGATGATTTAAGATGACCTCCCTCATATGTCTATAGACTCAACTGGGATACCTGGTATAATTGGGATGTCTTGACATCTCATTACATGTGGCCTACTATCCCAAGATTTTTATAGCCTTTTGTCTCAGAGTCACAAAATGTTAAATACAGAAGTGTTAAGGTCTTATGAAGTATAGACTCAGAATAGGCACGACATCACTTCCCTAACAATCCATCAGGCAAAGTAAGTCATAGGAGCAACCCAGTTTTAAGGAGAAGAATAAGTAGACACCACTTCTTAATGGGAGGAATGCAAATGTCACATTATTTTAGGAAAGGATAAAATAGACTCTTGTTCTCAATGGAAAAAAATGGCAATGTCACATTGAAAAACATTCACTATAGAAAATATTGTCACAATGATTCATATGTTTCAAGATCCATTTGACACATGGATGATTGAATTTATAATTTTAATGTAAATATTGAGATTTGAGAATATCAGGATATACAGATTGTGATGGTTATTATTGGTTGTTAACTTGACTGGATTGAAGGATGCCTATATGGTTGACAAAGTAATCTTTCCGGGTGTGTCTGGGTGTTGCCAGAGTAGATTGACTGACACCTGGGAGAGGAAGACACCCTCAATGTGGGTGGGAAGCATCCTGTGCAAATAGAACAAAGCAGGTGGTGAAAATGGGATAAAGAGCATGCTGAGTTTTCTCAAACTCTCTCTTTGCCTTTGATGGATGCTTTGCTTCCTTTCCTCCTGCTCTTGTACATCAGACTCCTCGTTCTTCAGGTTTTGAACTCCAAAATTTGCACCAGTGGCCTCCCAGGGACTCTCAGACTGAGATATACACTGTTACCTTCCCTAGTTTTGAAGCTTTTGGATTTGGACTGAGCCACTACCAGCTTCCCTATTTCCCTAGTTTGCAGAGATCCTATTGTGTAAGCCAATTCTCCCTAATAAACTTCCTTTTATAATATATATGTATTATTTTTTCTGTCCCTCTTGAGAACCCTGATTAACTCACACGTGGTTCTAAACTTATAATGGTTCAATTTATAATTTTTTCATTTTATGATGGGTTTATCAGGGTATTAAATGCATGTTTGACCTCTGATATTTTCAGCTTATGATGAGTTTATTAGGACATAACCTCATCATAAATTAAGGAATATCTGTATATGAATATGATATTTAAAGTGAGTACATTTAGATTCTGACCATTTATAAGTTTGGAAATATCTGAGAAGAAGTAGGCTTATAATATCATTTCACTTATATCTTCTCATGATCACTGCCAAAAAACTTATCTATCAGAATAATGGGCCTTATATTTTAGACGTTTTAGTATTTTAAAAATTAATGGAGTCCAAATTTAACATGACATATACCAAATTCAATGATATTATGAGCATAATTTTGTGTATGTTGTTTTGATTTTAATTTTAGCATTCTCTTGGAAATTTATTGATAGTTATTCACTCCTCTTTTCCTCCCTGAATACATTCTATATCTTAATACAAATTATTTTTGTATCACAAATTCTAGAGGATCCGGGAAAGACAGCTAACTAGATGCAGCTGGGAAGTGCCAATCCCACAGAGAGAGACCACAATTTTTATTACACCAACACAATTTGAACAGATCTTGAACTGAAAATGTCAAATGTGGATGGAGAAAAGGTGTGGACACTGAGGCTGAAGAGGAAGGAAGTTGGGAACCCCGCATGGGGTGTCTGAGTGCTATGACTTGTTCCCAGTCCCAAATGATGCCTGGGAAGGGATGAGTGAAGGGAATGGGGGCTCCTCATCCTCACTTTGTACCTCTGGGATACTCAGTGCAGGGGAACCCACAGCCCCATAGACAAGTTGACAGCGGATCTCCCCAGAGATTATATTGAGGTGGAGCTGCAGCAGGTGAGAAGCCAGAGATGTTTGAGTTTGGGTCAGCTCTGGCGGAGGTTCGCCATAAGCTCCCACACCCCAGGGCTGCGCATCTTACTCTGAGAGGTCCTGGGCACAGCTAAAACTGCCTAGGAAAAAGCAGGGCCTGTTTCCACACAGGACTGGGGAACATCTGTCCTTTAGGCCCATCCTCTCACTAGACCCTCCCAGGAATTCTGTCTTGCTGCCCCATTGGGGTGTGTATGCAATAGAGACTCCACTGCTCAGCCTGGTTGCTTTCTCCACCCGAGTGCATTCTGGTAGCCTGGGAGCCCTTTGGATCTCCCCACTGCATTTAGAATCTAACCCCAAGCATATGGGGGAGTAAGTTGCAAGCAGGTCCTGACACCCCAGGGCTGTGGCCTGCAGCTCAAACGTGCTGAGTTAGGGCCAGGCGCGGTGGTTCATGCCTATAATCCCAGCACTTTGGGAGGCCAAGGCGGGTGGATCAAGTGAAGTCAGGAGTGTGAGACCAGCCTGGCCAGCCTGGGGAAACCCTGTCTCTACTAAAAATACAAAAACTAGCTGGGCATGGTGGCACGTGCCTGCAAGCCCAGCTACCAGGGAGACTGAGGTTGGAGAATTGCTTGAGCCTGGGAGGCAGAGGTTGCAGTGAGTCGAGATTGTGCCACTGCACTCTAGCCTGGGCAACAGGGAGACTCCACCCTGCTCCCCTCCTCCCCGCCCCCACTGTGCTTGACACTTGAATGGAGGAGAAGCCCACACTCCCAGAAAACTGAATGCTGAGTCGCACAAATTTATGACCTGGCATGAGATCTTTACATGCCACTCTCCACAGGGCTATTCTGGTAAGAGTGTGGCTTATTTTCCTACCACACCTCTCCCCAAGAAAGTCCCATGTCCTGAAAAACATAACAACAATAAAATTGCAAGCACAGTGCCTGTGATTTGAGACGGCTTTCCAAAGGCCCACAAGGAAACCTGGTGAGGGGTCACCTCTCTAGCCCTTACACCACATAACAGAGCTGAAAATATAAAGATACGCAATGAAACATCATGGCTGGGTAAGAGCTTATCTATTTCCCATTGCTCCCAAGAGCCATACACTGGATTGCTGCCAAAACTAGAACATCAAAAATTACTAATAATTATCACACACTGTGAAACCGAGAGCAAAAATTCAATAACAAAGACCCTGTAGAGTCTTAGCTCTGTGAAAACTTCCAGAAATGAAACCAACCGAGTATACTCAATTTACACCACAATTAAGGCAATACTACCCTGCCCGATGAGAAAAAACAATGCAGGAACTCTGGCAAAAAACAAACAAACAAACAAACAAACAGGTTGTCCCCTTACCTCCACATAAGCCCACTAGATCCAGAGCAATGTTTATTAACTAGTCTAAATTGTCTGAAATGATAGACATAAAAATCAGACTGTTGGGTCAGGCACAGTGGCTCACGCCTGTAATCCCAGCACTTTGGGAGGCCAAGGCGGGTGGATCATGAGGTCAGGAGATTGAGACCATCCTGGCTAACAGGGTGAAACCCCGTCTCTACTAAAAATACAAAAATTAGCTGGACATGGTGGTGGGCACCTGTAGTCCCAGCTACTTGGGAGGCTGAGGCAGGAGAATGGCGTGAACCCAGGAGGTGGAACTTGCAGTGAGCCGAGATCGCACCACTGCACTCCAGCCTGGGCGACAGAGCGAGACTCCGTCTCAAAAAAAAAAAAAAAAAAAAAAATCAGACTCTTGATGACAAGAATGCTTATCAACATCAAGTAGAGAGTTGAAACTTGTGATGGTTAATACTGAGTGTCAACTTGATTGGATTGAAGGATGAAAAGTATTGATCTTGGGTGGGTCTGTGAGGGTATTGCCAAAGGAAATTAACATTTGAGTCAGCAGGCCGGGAAGGCACACCAACTCTTAATCCGGGTGGGCACCCTCTAATCAGCTGCCAGCGTGGCTAGAATACAAAGCAGGCAGAAAAACGTGAAAAGACTAGACTGGCCTATCCTCCCAATCTACATCTTTCTCCAGTTCTGGACCCTTCCTGCCCTCAAACATCAGACTCCAAGTTATTCAGTTTTGAGACTCGGGCTGACCTTCTTTGCTCCTCAGCTTGCAGTTGGCATATTGTGGGATTGTGATTGTGATTGTGTGAGTTAATACTTAATAAACTCCCATATATGTATATATATATAACCTATTAGCTCTGTCCCTCTAGAGAACCCTAATTACAGATTTTGGTACCAGAAGTGGTTCTAGAGGAACAGAATATTAAGTATGGACTTCTTTCATTGGTTTTGGGGTTCCTAAGTTGGCTGCTTAAGATGATTAGACCCCAAAATACTAAGGACTGTATTTCTCATAGTATGGAGAACACTGATAGTCCTTGATGTGAACTGTTTAGAGAGTTATGCAAAATAAATGCATTTGGCACTCCTGATTCACTGCTCATGAGAAGCAAAGAGTTTAGTGACTCTATACATAATATCTTTGACCGTATGTGGAGAACAAAAGAACATAATGAAACTGGTTAATTGCTCCTAAATTCAGTGTACAAAATGATGAAAGAAAATGATGAGCTCAGAATTTCTAACTCCTGGCTTCAGAAGCAGATACTTAGCCTCAAATCTGCTAAGATTACCCTGAGTGAGAGTCTTAACTCCTGTAGAGAAAGAGCTGAAATTGTGGAAAAACAGACACAAGCTCTTATCATGCGAGTGGCTGACCTGCAGCAAAAGGTGCATGCAAAACCTTGCCACGTGTCTACTGTTAAATTGAGGGCATTGACTGAAAAAGAATGGGACCCTGCAACATGGAATGGGAACGTGTGGGAGGACACTGACGAAGCACATGAACAAAGTGGCCATGGTGGCAGGGATGGAGGTTATACATGGGCTCAGCCACATGGACTTCCAGTTACCCAGGCTGACCTGGCTATGGCCAAGTGCCCAGTTTGTCAGCAGCAGACACCAACACTGAGCCCTGGATATGGCACGATTCCTCCGGGTGATCAGCCAGCTACCTGGTGGCAGGTTGATTATACTGGACCTCTTCTATAATAGAAAGGGCAGAGGTTTGTCCCCACTGGAATAGACACTTATTCTGGATATGGATTTGCCTATCCTGCACACAATGCTTCTGCCAAAATGACCATCTGTGGACTCACGGCATGCCTTATCCACCATCATGGTATTCCACACAGCATTGCCTCTGATCAAGGCACGCACTTTACATCTAAAGAAGTTCAACAATGGACTCATGCTTGAGGAATCCACTGATCTTACCGTGTGCCATCATCCTGAGACAGCTAGATTGATAGAATGGTGGAATGTCCTTTTGAAGTCACAATTACAATGCCAACTAGGTGACAATACTTTGCAGGGCTGGGGCAAAATTCTCCAGAAGGTCCTGTATGCTCTGAATCAGCGTCCAATACATGGTATTGTTTCTCCCACAGCAAGGATTCATGATTCCAGGAATCGAGGGGTGGAAGTGGAAGGGGCACCACTCACTATCACCCCTAGTGACTCACTAGTAAAATTTTTCTTCCTGTTCCTGTGACATTACGTTCTGCTGACCTAGAGGTCTTAGCTCCAGAGGGAGGTACGCTGCCACCAAAAGAAACAACAATGATTCCATTAAACTGGAAGTTAAGATTGCCACCTGGACACTTTGGGCTCCCCCTACCTTTAAGTCAAAAGGCTAAGAAGGGAGTTACAGTGTTGGCTGGGGTAAATGACCCAGAATATCAAGGTGAAATCAGTCTACTACTCCACAAGGGAGGTAAGGAAGAGTATATATGGAATACAGGAGATCCATTAGGGCATCTGTTGGTGTTAACATGCCCTATGGTTAAGCTCAATGGGAAACTACAACAGCCCAATCCAGGCAGAACTACAAATAACCCAGACTCTTTAGGAATGAAGGTTTGGGTCACTCCACCAGGAAAAAAACCACGACCTGCTGAGGTGCTTGCTGAAGGCAAAAGGAATACAGAATGGACAGTAGAAGAAGTTAGTCATCAATACCAGCTACTGTCACATGGCCAGCTGCAGAAATGAGGACTCTGATTTTCATGACTATTTTCTCTTTCTTTTGTTGAAAACATGTTTGTGAATGTATGCACTTCTAAGAAAATATTTTCCTTTTTGTTTCCTTTTTCCTTTATCATGTGACATAAGATTTATTAACTTCATATCAGCATTTAAGTATTGTTAACTTTATGTAATAGCATTTGGGTTGGGGATTGGTGCATTTCCAGTTGTATGAAGGATAAATATATTATGTTAGGCATAAATATGACCATAACGTGTATGGTTTCAAGTTGACAAGGGGTGAACTTGTGATTGTTAATACTGAGTGTCAACTTGTTTGGATTGAAGGATGCGAAGTATTGATCCTGGGTGTGTCCGTGAGGGTTTTGCCAAAGGAGATTAACATTTGAGTCAGTGGGCTGGGAAAAGTACCCCCACCCTTAGTCTGGGTGTACACCATCTAATTAGCTGCCAGGGCAGCTGGAATATAAAGCAGGCAGAAAAATGTGAAAAGACTAGACTGGCCTAGCCTCCCAACCTACATCTTTCTCCAGTGCTGGATGCTTCCTTCTCTCAAACATTGGACCCCAAGTTCTTCAGTTTTGGGACTCGGATTGGCATTACTTGCTCCTCAGTTTGCAGATGGCCTATTGTGGGACCTTGTGATCATATGAGTTAATACTTAATAATCTCCCACATATACAGATACATATATATATCTTATATCTATATATATATAGGATAGATCCGATATCTATATATATATCGATATATATATCTTGATAGATATATCTATATATATATCTTGATATATATAGATCTATATATATATCTTGATATATATATATCAAGATATATCTTGATATATATATATCTATATATATATCGATATATATGATTGATATATATATCAATATATATAGATCTATATATATATCTTGATATATATATATCAAGATATATCTTGATATATATATATCTATATATATATCGATATATATGATTGATATATATATCAATATATATAGATATAGGATCTAGCCTATATCTAGTCTATATCTATATATTATATATATTATATATATCTATATATAAGGATGTATATATATATATCCTATTAATTTTGTCCCTCTAGAGAACCCTAATACAAAACTCTATCCAAAAAAGCCAAGTAATTCATTAAAACAATTCAGTATTTGAAAGATGAAATACTCATTTTATAAAAGACCCAAACTGAACTTCTTAGGTTAAAAAAATCACTAAAAGAATTGTATAATACAATCAGTGTTATTAAAGGAAGAGTAGATCAAGCTAAGAAAAAATGCTCAGAGCTTGACGACCGGTTCTTTAAATCAACTCAGTAAGACAAAAATAAAGAATGAAGAAAATTGAACAAAACCTCTGATAAATAATGGATTATGTAAAGAGATAAAATCTATGATTCATTGGCATTCCTGAGAGAGAAAAAGAGAGAATAAGAAGCCTGGGAAATATATGTGGGAGAATAGTACATAAAAATTTTCGTAAACCTGATAGAGAGCTTGGCATGCAAGTCCAAGAAATACAGAGAGCCTCAACCAGATACTGTACAAGATGACCCTCCCAAAGGCACATAGTCATCAAGTTCACCAAGGTCAATGCAAAGAAAAAGATCTTAAAGGCAGCTAGAGAGAACGGTCAGGTTACATACAGAGAGAACTCCATATGGCTACCATCAGATCTCTCAGCAGAAACCTTATAAGCCAGAAAAGATTGGGGGCCTAGTTTCAGTGCCCTTAAAGAAAAGAAATTCCACCCAAGAATTTCATATCCTGCCAAACTAAGCTTTATAAGTGAAGGAGAAATAAAAGCTTTCTCTGACAAGCAAATGCTAAGGAAATACAATTTCATATAAGAAGAGCCTCACAAAAGGTCCTTAAAGGAGTGCTAAACATAGATTAAAAAGAATAACAACAACAAAGACACACTTAAGCACACAGCCCACATACATTATAAAGTAACTGTAATAAAGTCTACATAACCAGCTAACAACACAATGACAGGATCACAATCACACATATCACACTAACCTTCAATGTAAATGAACTGAACGCCTCACTTAAAAACATACAGAGTGGGAAACTGAATAAAAATACAAGAACCAGCCATCTGTTGTTTTTAAGAGACCCTTCTCACATGTAAAGAAACTCACAGGCTACAAGTAAAATTGTGGAATAAGATCTATCATACAAATAGAAAACAAAAAAAGAGCTATTCTTATGTCAGATAAAACAGAATTTAAACTAATAAAAATTAAGAAGGATCATGAAGGGCATTACATAATGATAAATAGTACAATTCAGCAAGAAACTTTAACGATCTTTAATGTATATACACCAAACATTGGAGAACACAGATTCATAAAACAACTTCTTGGCGTATGAAAAAAAAAAAACAGACAAACAAACTATAATAGTGGAAGATTTTAACACCACAGTGATAGGATTACAATAAATAATTGTGGCAAAAATCTAACAAAGAAACTCTGGACTTAAACTTGACACTTGACCAATTGGACCTAATAGACACCTATAGAAACGCTACCCAACAGCCGCAGAATATACATTCATCTTATCTGCACACAGAATATAGTCTAATATTGGCCACCTACTCAGTCATAAAGCAAGCCTGAATAAATGCAAAACAAATTGAAATCATATCAAGCACACTCTTGCATCCCAGTGCAATAAAAATATACATCAATATAAATAAGATCTCTCAAAACTATAAAAATGCATGAAAATTAAACAAGTTATTCATGAATATCTACTTAGGGAACATTGAAATTTAAACTTAAATACAAAACTTCCTTGAAATTAATAAAAATAAGCACACAACTTACCAAAATCTCTGAGATGCAGGCCAAGTAGTGTTAAAAGGAAAGTTTATATCTCTAAATGCATTCATCAAGATGTTAGAAAGATTTCAAATTAATAGTCTAACTTTGCACCTAAAGAAACTACAGAAAAATGAACAAATCAACCCCAAAGCTACCAGAATAAAAGAAATAACTAAAATTAGATAAGAACTAAATGAAATTGAGATGCAAAAATTCATTAAAAATATCAATGAAACCAATAATTGTTTCTTCAAAAAAATAAATAACATTGATAGGCCCTTAGCTAGATTAATAAAGAACATGAAAGAGAAGATCCAAATAAGCACAATAAGAAATGACGAAGGTGATATTAAAACTGATCCCATAGAAATACAAAAGATACTCAGAGACTACTACGAACAACTCTATGCACACAAATTAAAAAATCTAAAGGAAATGGATACATTCTTGGAAGTGCACAATCTTATAAAATTGAATAAGGAAGAGATTAAACTCCAAATAGACCAATGTAAACTTCTAAAATTGAATCAGTAATAAATAACCTACCAACCAAATAAAAACCCCAGTAAAAGATGAATTCACAGATGAATTCTATCAGACATAGAATGATCTGACACCAATCCTACTGAAACTATTCCAAAAAATTGAGGAAGAGGTTCTCCTCGTTAACTCATTCTATGAAGGCAGCATCGGCCCGATACCAAAATCCTGCACAATGAAAAATTAAAACTTTACACCCATATGCCTCATGAAAATATGCACAAAATTCACAATAAAATACCAGCAAATTGAATGCAACAGCACATCAAAAAGTTAACACAACACAATCAGGTGGGCTTATTTCTGGGACACAAGTCTGATTCAACAGATGCAAATCAATAAATGTGTTTAACCATACAAACAGAATTAAAAATCATTTGGATTATCTCAATTGACAGAGTAAAAGCTTTCAGTAAAAATCAAAATCCACTTATGATATAAACCCTCAAAAACTAGGCATTGAATGAACATACCTCAAAGCAATAATAACCATCCACAACAAACTCACGGCCAACATCATACTAAATGAGCAAAAACTGGAAGCTTTTCTCTTGAGAACTGGAGCAAGACAGGGATGCCTACTCTCATTCCTGCTGTTCAGTATAGTATTGGAAGTCCTAGGCAGAACAATCAAGCAAGGAAAGAAATAAAATGCACCTGAATATTAAAAGAAAAAGTGAAACTATCTCTCTTTGCAGACAATGTGACTCTGTACCTAAAAAATCCTAAACGCTCTGCCAAAAAGATCCCAGAACTAATAAACAACTTTAGTAAAGTTTCTGGATATAAAATTAATGTACAAAAATTCGTAGCATTTCTTTCCACTGACAACATCCAGACTAAAAGTGAAATCAAGAACACAATCTCACTTACAATAGGCACAAACAAAATGAAATACCGAAAAATTCAGCTAATTAGGTGAAAGATCTCTACAAAGAGAAGTGCAAAACAGTGCTGAATGAATTCAAAGATAACAAAACTAAATGGAAAAACATTCCATGCTCACAAATTAGAAAAATCAATATTATAAAAATGGCCATATAGCCCAAAGAAATGTACAGATTTAATACTATTCCTATCAAACAACCAACATCATTTTTCACAGGATTAGAAAACTAATCTAAAATGAATATAAAGCCAAAAAAGAGCCCTAATATCCAAAACAATCCCAAGCAAAAAGTACAAAGCTGGAGGCATCACACTACCCATCTTCAAACTACACTAGAAAGCCACAGTAACCAAAACAGCTTGGTACCGATACAAAAATGGACACATAGACCAATGGAAAAGAATAGAAAACTCAGAAATAAAGCTGAACACCTGCAGCCATCTGATCTTTAATGAGACTGAGCAAAAGAAGCAATGGGGAACAGACATCCTATTCAATAAATGGTACTGGGATAAATGGCTAGCCATATACAGAAGATTGAAACTAGATCTCCATGTTTTACCATATACAAAAATTAACTCAAAATGGCTTAAATGAAAGGCCTCAAACTATAAAAATCCTGAAAAACAACCTAGGAAATACTCCTTTTCATATTTTCCTTGCCAAAGAATTTATGGCTGAGTCTTCAAAAGCAATTGCAACAAAAACAGAAATTTACAAAAGGGATACAGTTAAACTGAAGAGCTTCTGAACAGCAAAAGAAACCATCAACAGAGTAAACAGACAACCTACAGAATGGGAGAAAATATTTGCAAACTATGTATCTAACAAATGTCTAATATCCAGAATCCATGAGAAACTCAAACAAATCAGAAAGCAAAAAACAAATAACTCCACTTTGTTTTTAAATGGGCAAAAGACATGAAGAGACATTCCTCAAAAGAAGATATGCAAGTGGCCAACAAACAAATAAAAAAGTGCTCAACATCACTAATTATTAGAAAATTTAAATCGAAAACACAATAAGATACCATCTCACATCAGTCAGAATGGCCACTGATAAAAAGTCAAGAAACAACACTCTGGCCAGGCTGTGGAAAAAATGGGAACAAATATACCATGTTGGTGGGAATGTAAATTAGTCCAGTCACTGTGGGAAAACATCTAGAGATTTCTTAAAAAACTTAAAACAGAGCTACCATTTGATCCAGCAATTCCATTATTGGGTATATACCGAAGATAAAATAAATCATTCTATCAAAAAGACACGTATTCTCTTACGTTCATTGTTGTGCTATTCACAATAGCAGACATGGACTCAACCTGGGTGCCCATCAATGATAGATTGTTAAAGAAAATGTGGTCCATATACACCATGGAATACTATGCAGCCACAAAAAAGGGTTGAAATCATGTATTTTGTGGCAACATGGATAGAGCTGGAAGCCATAATCTTAAACAAATTAAGAACAGAAAACCAAATACTGCATGTTCTTACTTATAAGTGGGAGCTAAACATGGAACACACATGGACATAAATATGGGACAACCAGACACCGTGGAATACTAGAGGGTGGAGGGAGGGGTTTCCTGGTTAAAAACCACCTATTGGGTACTATGATCACTACCTAGGTGATGAGACCCACACTCCAAACCTCAGCATCATACAACATTCCCATGTAACATATCTGTACATAGACTCATTATATCTAAAATGAAAGTTAAGAAAACTTAATTTCTATCTTATAGGGCTATATTTGTTATTAAATGTAAAGTGACTGGCACCATACCTGGTATATTGTAGACAGTCCATTACTCTTAGCCTAGGAGCACCCACTTTTCTAATACAATCCCCTTAGTGTTACTGAGAAAAGAATAACAAACTTGTAGTTAGCAAACCCCAGAATGAAATTTCATGTGTGTAACGTAAATTTTTTTCTTTGTTTTCTCTCATTTTTGTTGGGTTTTCTTTTCTTATTTCTTTTCCTTTTCTTTTCTCAAAATCTATTTGTTCTCTGACTCTACCACTTATATTCTGTGTGACCTTTAGCTAATTACTGAAACTTTTGGAGCCTCAGTTTCTTCATTTTAAAACAGGGTTGATAATGTTGTCCTTATAACAATTTTTGGAAAGTTTAAATGAGATTACAAAACAAAATAGAAGAACTCTAATAAACTAAAATTAAAGCAATTAAGTAGTAGTTTATTTCTTCATAGGAATGTAAATTCTTGGGAGATAAAATTGTTATTATTCCAGACCTCCACAGCCAATGATGATTAATAATATAAAAAATATGTTCAGTTCTTGAAACCATGCTATGTGCCAAACAGCACACAAGTTGATATGGGAGAAAAAGCAATGAATAAGATGCTGCATCTACCCATAAGAAGATTAACACATTGTAGGGAAATAGAGTATTTATATAATGACCGTCAATTTTATTTATAATAAATGCAAAAGGGAAACTGAACATAGCATAGATGTTGACATGAGGGATATTATTTTAGTTTAGAGGATAAAAACAACCTTTATGAATGAGATACTGTAAGATGGATTTAAAGAATAAATGCTTTTTGCATTTTGACAAAAATAGTTCAAATATGAGTTATGAATTAGAAATTCCAAGCAAATGAGATACCTTAAACAAAGTCACAAGAGATTTAGTGAATCCATGATATTTTTGGACAAGTGTGAGACATTCACTACTTCAGTTTAGTGGATTTTAGTAGAAAGTTATTTAGAAACCTGCGTTGAGACTAGAAGATGAACATTTTTGACTATCAGGCTAGCCAAATACACTGTAACAAACCTGAGTTTTTCAATATTTTTAAATACAGGAGTGGCAAAATCAGAGATGTGCTATAAAAATGACATGTCATAGACAAAATAATGCAGAATAGACACTGAGTAAAATAGAAGCGGTTCCTTTGTGCATTTCAATATGTTAAGCTTTATCACTTTCAGGTTATTGAAATATATACCTTCACATTACATAGATTATATACAGATAGATATAGATATATGTATCTGTACATACTATATCTTTATATAGAGAAAAAGCTTGAGATATATATATATATAAAATATAGATAGATACCATAGCTTAATAAATATATATGTCAACATAAAATACATTATATTGGCAACACTCTCAGATAAATGTATCTTTTTTTTATTATTACACTTTAAGTTTTAGGGTACATGTGCACAATGTGCAGGTTAGTTACATATGTATACATGTGCCATGCTGGTGTGCTGCACCCATTAACTCATCATTTAGCATTAGCTATATCTCCTAATGCTATCCCTCCCTCCTCCCCCCACCCCACAACAGTCCCCAGAGTGTGATGTTCCCCTTCCTGTGTCCATGTGTTCTCATTGTTCAATTCCCATCTATGAGTGAGAACATGCGGTGTTTGGTTTTTTGTCCTTGCGATAGTTTACTGAGAATGATGATTTCCAATTTCATCCATGTCCCTACAAAGGACATGAACTCATCATTTTTTATGGCTGCATAGTATTCCATGGTGTATATATGCCACATTTTCTTAATCCAGTCTATCACTGTTGGACATTTGGGTTGGTTCCAAGTCTTTGCTATTGTGAATAGTGCCGCAATAAACATACGTGCGCATGTGTCTTTATAGCAGCATGATTTATAGTCCTTTGGGTATATACCCAGTAATGGGATGGCTGGGTCAAATGGTATTTCTAGTTCTAGATCCCTGAGGAATCACCACACCCACTTCCACAATGGTTGAACTAGTTTACAGTCCCACCAACAGTGTAAAAGTGTTCCTATTTCTCCACGTCCTCTCCAGCACCTGTTGTTTCCTGACTTTTTAATGATTGCCATTCTAACTGGTGTGAGATGGTATCTCATTGTGGTTTTGATTTGCATTTCTCTGATGGCCAGTGATGATGAGCATTTTTTCATGTGTCTTTTGGCTGCCCAAATGTCTTCTTTTGAGAAGTGTCTGTTCATATTCTTTGCCTACTTTTTGATGGGGTTGTTTGTTTTTTTTCATGTAAATTTGTTGGAGTTCATTGTAGATTCTGGATATTAGCCCTTTGTCAGATGAGTAGGTTGTGAAAATTTTCTCCCATTTTGTAGGTTGCCTGTTCGTTCTGATGGTAGTTTCTTCTGCTGTGCAGATCCTCTTTAGTTTAATTAGATCCCATTTGTCAATTTTGGCTTTTGTTGCCATTGCTTTTGGTGTTTTAGACATGAAGTCCTTGCCCATGCCTATGTCCTGAATGGTAATGCCTAGGTTTTCTTCTAGGGTTTTTATGGTTTTAGATCTAATGATGTTTAAGTCTTTAATCCATCTTGAATTAATTTTTGTATAAGGTGTAAGGAAGGGATCCAGTTTCAGCTTTCTACATATGGCTAGCCAATTTTCCCAGCACCATTTATTAAATAGGGAATCCTTTCCCCATTGCTTGTTTTTCTCAGGTTTGTCAAAGATCAGATAGTTGTAGATATGCGGCATTATTTCTGAGGGCTCTGTTCTGTTCCATTGATTTATATCTCTGTTTTGATACCAGTACCATGCTGTTTTGGTTACTGTAGCCTTGTAGTATAGTTTGAAGTCAGGTAGTGTGATGCCTCCAGCTTTGTTCTTTTGTCTTAGGATTGACTTGGCGATGCGGGCTCTATTTTGGTTCCATATGAACTTTAAAGTAGTTTTTTCCAATTCTGTGAAGAAAGGCATTGGTAGCTTGATGGGGATGGCATTGAATCTATAAATTACCTTGGGCAGTATGGCCATTTTCACGATATTGATTCTTTCTACCCATGGGCATGGAATGTTCTTCCATTTGTTTGTATCCTCTTTTATTTCATTGAGCAGTGGTTTGCAGTTCTCCTTGAAGAGGTCCTTCACGTCCCTTGTAAGTTGGATTCCTAAGTATTTTATTCTCTTTGAAGCAATTGTGAATGGAAGTTCACTCATGATTTGGCTCTCTGTTTGTCTGTTATTGGTGTATAAGAATGCTTGTGATTTTTGTGCATTGATTTTGTATCCTGAGACTTTGCTGAAGTTGCTTATCAAACTGTCTCTCAGATAAATGTATCTTAAATATTCAATCGAGATAAGTTGTTACATCACATCATATGAGATCTTACAGAACAGATCCTTTTATCATGACAAATTAATCATTAGTATTGAATGCTAGTGATGGAAATAAATAATAAAGGAAGTTTATTTTGATACATTAATTGTATATGTCATAGAAATGAAAAATAAAGATAATTTACTATATTTAGAAATACTCTGCTTTGGTAGAGAGAATAATTCCCTGAGCACATTTAGTACAGATTATTGGTCTTGCACACATGCTTAGATTAAAGATAAATATAAAAAGAGATTCATTTTTGACCTTCAGAATCTAAAATGTCCAAATGCTCATCAAAAGAGAGAAAAGTCAATGAGTGAAGGCAAATTGTTTTTCTTTAAAGATTTTCTGCTTGAATGTCACTGCCTCTTAGTGCCCTACAGAACCACAAATTATGAATAGAATAAAAGGATGTACTTTAGAAAATATTGAACCAGATACTTCCAGTGTCTGTGCTATATATTGGGAGAAAATGAAGCACTCTTAATAAATAGATAAACTTTTAAACTGGTTATTGCTTCAGTATACCAAATGGTATCCTTGTCGCCCACAATATTTAATGCCTATTCCTAAAGTGTTTAATATATTCTGGTAAACTATTTACTACTGGGAAACCTTGACTGACTTAGGAGATAATTAATTTAATTTGTGGTTTAGTGAACAAGAAACTTTCCTCATTTAATACCTTAAACTCTGAATCGAAACTTTTTCCATCACAGATGGCTGACAATATACAGGATATAACATATATTAAAAATAGATTGAATGTAATATACTTGGAGCGACACTTGAGCTCTTCATGGCAGTGCAAAGATACTATAAGATATTTAACTGTGACTGAATCACAGTGAGCACAGTCAGCCACACCTTACTGGTCATTGTCAAGACTCCGTAAATCATGTTTGATAAGAACAGAGTTCGTCACAATCACATAAGCATTTATTTCCCTGACAATTAAATGGTGAAAATGCTTGGAGATAATATTTAGAACAAGATAGAATTACCATACAAAAGCCATTTTCTGTCGTAAATCTAATGATAATGCTACACTCTATAAGTCACAAACAACCATGGGTGTTTGCTAATTTTGCAGTACTTGCCTTCACTCTTCCAATGGAGAAATAATATTCTCAAAGACAACATTTAATAATAACGCACCATGTACGGTAATCACTTCATTATTGGAAATGTTAACAAAGCATATATTATCTAGTTTAAAGTTTTATAAAGTGTATTCCTTAAAACATTACATCTACAGGATTAAAGTAGGCCTTGTGTTGAAAAGCAGTTCTCTTATCAAATTTACAGAATGTTGAATCAGGCAATATTAAACAGATTTTTGTTTGTTTTTAAAAATTGTTTTCCACTGCACATTTTCTCAGAACTTTTAAAAGAGGTAGAATGCTTCTGACTATAAGATGGGAATATAGTATGTGACATTCCTCAGATGTATTTGAATATGGAGGCTTTTATTCTGTTGTACCTTATGGGACTAATATTCCGTGAAACACTATTTGGGGAGTACAAATCTGATTAAAGCCCCTCACATGAAGCAACTTCCTAAGAAGCAGATAAGCTATATGATATTCCTGAAGGTTTCAAAGTGACCTAAACAGAATTTAGGTGAAGGCCCCCTAGTTTACTGTCCAATACTTATTCCATTTTCACAATGTGGCTTTCCATTTTAACTGGTAATATTTATTTGAAATTTTTTAAAAATAAGTTTTACTCTAAAGTTTAGAGGAAACATTTAAAATAAGGCTAGAAGACTAGAACAGCAGGGTTAGGACAGTTCTTCTACCAAAGCAGTACACTTTCTAATACACAGCGTTATACACAGTATTGCAGTACTTGCCTTTACACTTCCAATGGAGAAATAATATCCTCAAAACAACATTTAATAATAACACGTCATGTACGGTAATCACTCTGTTAACTTGATAATTTGATAATTACAAATGTTAAGGATATATGTATTTGTAAACTATTCATAAAATATGCTTATATACGTTATATTTATTCACCCTAATCTGTAACCTTACGGGCCATTGTTTTAGGATTATCTATTTATATATCTATATTAGAAATGTTAACAG